>NC_000023.11:77614057-77917087 GCF_000001405.40 Homo sapiens
ATTATAAATTATCACTAAAATTAATATGAAACTGCTGCTAATGTTAAAAACAAAATTTGGGTGAACTTCTTAAAAGTAACCACAGTCTAAAAAAGCCTAATGTAGAAACAAAAAATTTCTGGAATATTTAACAGACAAAATACCAAACATTTTAAATGCAAGTAAAATAGGCAGGTGATATTTCAAGAGAAATACTGTGAAGATTTGTACTGAGAATCAAGACAGAGTAGCCATTCATATAACCCACTTGGCCTTTTATGAATGTTTTTCAAAGAGGCTATTTAACTCAGGTTATTCTACTCTATGGGTAATATTGCATTTGGTAAGGGGAAAACCCCACACCCTAAAACTTAAAGATTCACGGTACCAGGTGATAATTTAACAATCATATCTTTTAGATTTTAGCTATGGCAATTAGTGCTTTAGATATTTACTCCTATCAATGATAGTCACAAAGAATAAAGCAAAGCCCCCTAAATTCTTAAATAATTGCATTGCTCTCAAAAAGAGTGTTTTTTTAAAATTTTTAAAAATTGATACATATTATTTTTACATATTTTGGGAGTGCATGTGATATTTTGTTACATGCATAGAATATGCAATGATCAAGTCAGGGTATTCAGGGTATCCATCACCTTGAGTATTTATCATTTTTATATGTTGGAAACATTTCGAGTCCTCTCTTCCAGCTATTTTGAAATATAAAATGCACTGTTGTTAACTACAGTCACCCCATTCTGCTATCAAACAGTAGAACTTATTCCTTCTATCTAACTATGTGTCTGTACCCATTAACCAACCTCTCTCTATCCCTCCCTCAACACACACATACTTCCCAGATTCGGGTATCTATCATTCTATCTACCTCCATGAGGTCAACTCAAAAGAGTAGAGCTTAACATTTATACCTGAGCTGTTACCATTTGTGATTGGTGGTGGTGGTTGTTGTTGTTGTTGTTGAGACAAGGTAGTGCTCTGTTGCCTAGGCTGAAATCCAGTGGCACAATCATGTCTCACTGCAGCCTTGACCTCTCAGGATCAAGCAAACCTCCCGCCTCAGCCTCCCAAGTAGCTGGGACTACAGGTGTGCATTACCATACCCGGCTAATTTTTTGATTTTTCGTGGAGATAAGGTTTCACTATGCTGCCCAGGCTAGTCCCCAACTCCTGAGCTCAAGTAATCCTCCCACTTCAGCCTCCCAAAGTGCTGTGATTACAGGCATGAACCACCATGCTCAGCCTATGATTGGTTATTAAAGACAACTAATTCTATAAAACCTGAAAACACTATTGTGAGCATTTTCCCTAATATAAAACATTTTAAAAGGAAAAAATATTAAATGACCAAATTTATTACTCCTTATTACTCAGAGATTAATTAAAGACAGATCTGAACATCTGTCTCTTAAACTATACAGCAACTCTCTCATTGGGATAACTATTTGGTTATTTAATTATGCCTGCAATTTTTATTATTCAAAACAGAATAGTATAGTAAATCTATCAGCTTCTGACAGATATACAAATGAAAATGTGTGCTTTATTGGAACTGATTTTCTTCCAAAAGTCAATACAAAAATTGCTTTTATAAAAGCAAAAAAGCAGTTCCATAAAATACTAAGATTCAAACACTGTTTTCCCCAGCAGAATGTTTCTTGAGAACCATCATATTTTACTCTCTAGGATGCACTGCTATTAAAAAAGAGTACCACTTTAGCTATAATTATCATGTTAATATGTGTGTACGTACTTCCATCCTCCTTTTTTTTTTGATCAATTACTGTATTCACAATTGGCCAAAGAGCACCCTCTAACCTGTATCTCCTAATTAAATCAGTAATATCATTTGGGGAAAGGTACCAGAATAAGTGATCAACAAGTAAGAAATCTCACTCCAGTCCAAAGATTAGGTTTTGTTGTGTGAAGACAGACATCTTCAGGCACAGAGAGACACAGACACACACACACACACAAAAAGCTTATTGATGGTAAAACAAAAACTATTCATTGTATTATTTTAAAGCATAGAAAAATACAAGAAATAAACTAGAAGGTCTTCATAACAAAAGCACCCAGAAAACAACTTCTGTTAGCATTTTGGTGTATTTTAGGCATACTACATGCCTTGCCTTCTATTTTACTTTTGCCTTCAACCTTTGTTAATTAAATAACTGAGAAACAAACTCATGAATTTAACTTATACACCTTTTATTATTAATGTGGGTAAATACTTTTTAAAAAAATACTCTGGAATTTTGTATATCTTCTTTTATGGATTTATTCACATTCATAATTTTTCTGAAATAAAAGCTCTTTACAAATTAAGGGCATTATTCATATGTGCTGTATATCTTTTTCATCAATTTGCTTCTTGATTTTAATTTTGACAGCATCAGTGTTTTAATTAGAAATATTTTATGCTTTTAAGCATACCCATTTTATTCAAATGCAAAACTGAAAAAGAACAACAGACATAGTAAGATGACTGAAATAATCTTCTTTGGAAAAAGAATGTCTTTATAGAGAAGATGAAATCAACAAGGTGTATTGTTTACCTGTTAAGTGATCTAAGTAGTACTGATAGAGCTTGCACTGAATAGAAGTCATTCTCACAGCTAACACATATTCGTGTTTTGGAGGCAAGAATTTTGTTAATGCTGTATAATCTTTCCTCTGTAATTAACAAGAAAGAGAATGAAAATTAATCTAAATATTTAACAGGAATGAACTACAAGTTCTCATTGCTTATAACTGAAATATACACATAAATAAATAGGCACTAAACATATAAGAAAACATTTTCTTAAATATATTTACCCTTTCTAAACCCACAATTATCTACACAATGTATTTCATATGACTATACAATATGGTACACTGGTAAAAAGACACTGCAACACACCAGGTAGGTTTTAAATTGAAGCAATCACATTACCAAGTGAGCAATTTAAGTTTTCAAAATAGTCTTCTCTGTACAGAAAAAAAAATAACAAAAGGTATGGAGGGGATGTAGTAGGTAGTGTGAGCAAAATGCCTTGCTTTAATCATGTAATAAAACCTAGGAATCAAAGTCTAATGCAGTCTGAGTTGGCTTCTTAGAAAGATATGCTAATATGTCAAACAATAACATATAATTTTAGAGGGAATATTTGCCCAATTAAGAAAGCAACCCCTCTACAAGCACTCTTGAAACCATTTTATTGTAAGAGTAGAAAAACAGAACACCAATGTGCTAAATAGAAATTACTCCTTAAACCAGAAAGAAAAATGCTGCCTGGGTAGTAGCAGCAATACAGAAACAGGGTACTTGCTAGCACATGTAGCCAACCTGACCAAACGGAACAACTACTCCTTATAATGATGGCAAGTACAGTCATGCCTCAGTATCTATGGGAGACTGGTTCCAGAACCCACCCCACCTCCACAGATAGCAAAATCCATGAAAGTTCAAGTCACTTATATAAATAATGTAGTGTTTGCATATAACATATAAACATCCTCCCATATACTTTAAATCATCCCCAGATTACTTATAATGCCTCACACAATACAAATACTATGTAAATAGTTGCTATACTCTATTGTTTAGGAAATAATGACAAGAAAAAAGTCTGTACATGTTCAGTACAGACACAATCATCCATTTTTTTCTTAATTATTTTCTTTCTTTTTTTTAAGAGACAGGGTCTTACTCTATCATTGAGGCTGAAGTACAGTGGCATAATCTTAGCTCCTTGCAGTCTTGAATTCCTGGGCTCAAGCAATCCTCCTGCCTCAGCCTCCCAAGTGACAGAGACTATAGGTGCGCACCACCGTGGCTGGCTAATTTTTTAAAACTTTTTTTAGAGACAGGGTCTTGCTCTGTCACCCAGCCTGGAGTGTAGTGGCATGATTTTAGCTCACTGCAGCCTTGAACTCCTGGGCTCAAGTGATCCTCCCACCTTGGCCTCTTAAAGTGCTGGAATTACAGGTGTGCACCACTGTACCTAGCCTCTGTCCATTTTATCTATTTTTTAAAAAAATATTTTTGATCCATGGTAGGTTGAATCCATGGATGCAGAACCTGCAGATATGGAGGGCAAACTGTATATCCAACCAAAAGAATAGCCTGTCTCATTTGTTAAAACATCTTTGAGGCTATCATCAGTACCTAACATCTACAGAGAAAGTGCGTATCTTGAGATCTATTAACTGCCAGCTCAGTCTCTAGACACTTATCCATTCATTAATATAGATTCACTGAAAATCTGTATGTAAACGACACCACTAGTCTGTTCAGGTTATTATATATACTTGAAAGTAACAAAACTGTTTCTCCAGGATTACTTTAAAAGTGGCTCCTCTCTTAATTCATACTGGCCTCTCCTATAACCATTTCAAAAAAGTGAGATTTATAATACTGTACTACAGAATTAGGGTGAGCATAGGAACTTCATCATAGTAGCTATGTTCCTCTTAAGGAACTCCCTATCTTAAGGATGAAAAATCTAAACATTAACATAATAAGATATGAGGCTTTACACCTGGCAAATGAATCAACTATGTTTTAAACTCAGCGGAACTTCTTTTTTAAAAGTTGAATGCAGCAGAAATTTTTTAAGACAACGCAAGGAGATATAACTGTAAAACTATCTACTGAAAGAGCGGGAAAGAAAACACAAAATTATTAAACTTTAAGCTCAGAAAATATGTTGGGATTGTTATATAAAAAAGTAAGAATATTTTATTACTATGGAACATATTTGTACCTGAACACATCCAGCTAACATCTCATAGAGAATGTGAGCACGTTTTTTCATCACTCTGACATCTACCATGGTAGAATCTGCACACTGACCATTTTGAATTGGATTTATAAATCTATTCCTGAACTCCTTAATGGATCCAAGTAAATTTTCCTTGATAAAATTAACCATACAATGATCTAAGAGAGAAGACATTATTCATTAACAACATTAACAATCGTTAAAAAGACTTAGAAAAATTCCCCAATGAAATGCTCATGTCAAAAACACATGCATTAGAATTAAGCTATAAAGAAAGAATATCAAGCTAAGTATAGAATAAACATGGTTATAAGTCTGATCTACAAGTGAATTACCAAAACGAGAGAGAAAATTGAAGTAAAAACCATCCCTAAATACTAGACATGAACGTTTTTTAAAAATACCTAAGGACAGTTTATTCAAACTCACTATTATTCTTTATAAGAGATATGAAGTATAAAACAAGTGGTCCATTAATCTAACCATGATTTTATGGTCAGTGAGGCTATCTTGTGAAGAAAGGAGATACTAAGTCAAAACAATAAATAGGAGGTAATAAGCTACTAAGCAAGTTAATTTATATTAACTGATTCATTTCCAGAATAACCAAATAATATTTGAGAGATCAAATAATAACAACTGTTATTCAGTATTCAGTTGGGGCTACACAAATAGTAAAAAAAAAAAATTAATTACTAATGTATTTTGTAAGACTAACCCATTTTGTAAAAATTAACAGAGCCATCACTTGTCCCATACTATATAGGACCACAATATGAAACAGCATTTCTATAAATAGGGTAACAGAATAGAAAAGAGGAAAACTGGAACAGATAAAAACAAACATAAAGTATAGGCTAAAGTGAAATGACTAGTATTACAAATAATAAAATAGCAAAAAGTTACCATAAATACACTAAAGGAATGTAACACAGAGAAAAATAACAAAAAGCCATTACAGTGGGAAAAAGAAAAAAAGTGAGAGATTATAACAGGAAATTTCAATTAGTTACTTGCTGAATAATCTCATGTTCCCTTCTTTAGTGTCACCACAGACATACGAAAATGAGGGTAATTCACAAGTCATTTCCCTAGGTTCACATCAACTACCTTTAGCCTCAGCAAACTGTCCTGCCATGGATTCAGCAAACCTCTCCTTCTCCCATCTCCACTTTACTAAAATGTTCACAGTTCCCATTTCTTTCTGATTTCTTGACAGTACATGCCCCAAAACTGGAATATCCCCTTAAAATTATCTGGAGTAATCACATATGCTTATGTACTTTCTAAAGCAATCATTAAGACTTCTGATACTCTTGCAATAATTCACATTCCATATTTATATATGAACATTCACAATAGCGTATCTCTTAACTGTATTTTACCACTCATTTATAAAGCATCTCATTTGAAAAGTATGTTATTCTTTCACAGCAGACTAAGATGAACCTATGTAGATCATGGTCTAGGACTATACTAGAATAAGTAGAAGAAAGGTAAATGGTAACGTTACAAAAATATATCTGAGGAAATACCAATATTCTACTGCATAATCAGAGATATTAACTCACACTCAATTAGGTTATTTTGAAGTGGTGTTCCTGTTAAAATAATCCTCCTCCTTGATCGTATAGAATTCATAGCTTTAGAAACAGCAGATGCTTCATTTTTTAGAATATGGCCTTCATCACAAACAACAAAATCAGGGCCTACAAAAATAAACAGAAAAATAACACAATTAATATATAATAAAACTGAAAATGTGATCCATTTAAGTAAATAAAGTTAATCCCTTTAAAGTGCTGATCTTACAGGAAGATAAAATGACATCGTTGTAAGTATAAACATATTTTATCTGCTCCCGTATTTGGTTAATACAGCACTAACTATATTAATTATATCCAAATGGTAGAGCATTGAAATACCACTATAAATGGTAGTCAGGGTCCTCTGAGTTTACAAAAATAAGCAAAAATAAAAACAACAAGAGGGAAAAAGTTCCCCCAACAGACATAGCCTATTTTTAAAAATGTCTTTTAAAATTGAAAAGTCTTTAAAGCTATTTCAGCATTAGTATATCAACTTAAACTATCAGCAAAGACTAAGAGCAATGTATATATACATGAAAAGACAAATTTCAAAAGTTACACTTTAAGAATAATATATGTCACAACAGACCATATAATACTTCCCACTTAGTCCAAATAACTAACATTCATTGCTGGGGAAAAATTTTAACTGATAAAAGAAAGTGAAACTGGTTGTTACATGGGTATGGAGGGTAGGGAGAACAGCTTTTAAGCTATAAAAGATCTTAAAAGCTTAAACTCAGAAAATATTTGGGATTGCAATATAAAAAATAACAACATTTTATTACTATGGAATGCATTTGTACCTGAACAAATATGTTCCACAGCATCTGTGGACTCTTTTAGAAGAAATACTAAAGGCTTATTTGTTAAAATAACATACATATTTTTTTTCTTTTCTTTTCTTTTTTATTTGAGATGGAGTCTCCCTCTGTCGCCCAGGCTGGAATGCAGTGGCACAATCTTGGGTCACTGCAACCTCCACCTCCCGGGTTCAGGTAATTCTCCTGCCTCAGCCTATCGAGTAGCTGGGATTACAGGTGCCCGCCACCATGCCTGGCTAATTTTTTTGCATTTTTAGTAAAGACGAGGTTTCACCATGTTGGTCAGGCTGGTCTCAAACTCCTGACCTCAAGTGATCTGCCCGCCTTGGCCTCCCAAGTGCTGGGATTACCGGCATAAGCCACCACGCCCAGCTGATATATATTTTTTCCAGGGCATAATACATACTCTATTTGCTTGCTGGTTAACATATACACACATATTACTTAATTGCTGATTTCAACAAAGCAGCTGTCAAACTATCTCCCATCTGGTAAGCATTAGAGAAAATGCAACTTTTACATGACTTCAAAAGTAACAGCTTCAGTATGACAGATCAAATAATAACAACTGTTATTCAGTATTCAGTTGGGGCTACACAAATAGTAAAAAAAAACAACAACAACAACAACAAAAAAAAACTAATATTTTGTAAAACTAAAATCTCTAGCTTTGTATTTAAAAATTATGCATCCCTTACTTTGAATCTGAAAACATTTTCTACAGAGAAAAAAATGCCTTTTACAGCAGTGATTTAAATGGTTTTACCACTTAATATTCGGTATCCATGAGGATGCGTTGAAATGGGTACTCTCATACACTCTGTGGGAGTCTAAATTAGTATCAAAAATTTTGGAAGTCAATTTTACAATAATTATCAAAATGCAAAATGTGTAAACCCTTTGACCCATATTTCAATTTCTAGGAATTGGTCCCAAAGATACTCTTCCACAGGCACCCAAAGATACATAAAAGAATGTTCTCTGCAGCACGGTTTGTTACGGAGGAAAATTGAAAACAACCTAAAAATTTGTCAGAGGGGATCTGGTAAATGGGGCTTAAACCATGGGATAATGGAATAAGTCACAGAGTTAAAATTAATGAGGTAGACACACCCCCACTGGAGAAGCTGAAGGTCTGTTTGCTGGAGAAATTCCTGACTTTAGCTGGAGTTGAGTCAAGTTAGAAAGCCAAGCCGAGCGAAATACAGGGGTAGAGGAAGTAGCAGAAAGGCACTGGGAGCTTGCTGGATCCCCAAGCAGCCCATTCCTGCCTGGCAACACAGGGATCCATCAGGAGGATGGCCATCAGAGCAGAGGGTAAAACTCCACAGGGAGAAGGACTTCTCTAGCTGAACTTTTTAACAATTTGAATGGGGCAAGAAGCCTCCTGGCCAGAACTCCGGGGAGGGCGCAAATCCAGATTGCAGACTTCACAGGTGGGGGATGAACTAAAGCCCTTTTCTTTTGCAGCTTGGAGGTGGAAAGCCGGGGACAAGTTTTCAAGCCAGACTCAAACACACTCGGGGCTGTTTCGGCGCTGGAGGGGTAGGGGGTGCGGTACACCATGGGAGTGAGACAAGACCAGCCTTTCGGTTTGCGTGGGAGCTGAATACACCCACCTGAATACAATAATGACACAGCCTATCAAAACCTCTGGGATACAGCTGAGGCAGTGCTAAGAGGAAAGTTCATAGCCCTGAACGCCTACATCAAAAAGTCCGAAAGAGCACAAACAGACAATCTAAGGTCACTAGGAACTAGAGAAACAAAAACAAAACAAACCCAAACCCAGCAGAAGAAAGGAAATAACCAAGATCAGAGCAGTACTAAATGAAATTGAAACAAAACAAAACAAAAAATACAAAAGATAAATGAAACAATAAGCTAGTTCCTTGAAAAGATAAAATAAAATTGATAGAACATTAGCAAGATTAACCAAGAAAAGAAGAGAGAAAATCCAAATAAAGTCACTGAGAAACGAAACAGGAGATAGTACAACTGACACCACTGAAACACAAAAGATCATTCAAGGCTATTATGAATACCTTTACGCACATAAACTAGAAAACCTACAAGAGGTGGATAAACTCCTGGAAAAATACAACCCTCCTAGCTTAAATCAGGAAGAATTTGATACCCCGAACAGACCAGTAACAAGCAGCGAGACTGAAATGGCAATTTAAAAATTACCAAGAAAAAAAAGTCCAGGACCAGACCAATTCACAGCAGAATTCTACCAGACATTCAAAGCATTGGTACCAATCCTTTTGACACTATCCCACAAGACAGAGAAAGAAGTAACCCTCCCTAATTCATCCCTATTCATCACCGTAATAGCAAAACCAGGAAAGATCACGACCAAAAAAGAAAACTACAGACCATTATCCTCAATGAACATAGATGCTAAAATCCTTAACAAAAATATTAGCTAGCCAAATCCAACAACATGCCAAAAAGATAATCCACCATGATCAAGTGGGTTTCATATCAGGGATGCAGGGATGGTTTAACACATACAAGTAAATAAATGTGATACACCACATAAACAGAATTAAAAACAAAAATCACATGATCATCTCAATAGATTCAGAAAAAGCATTCGACAAAATCCAGCATCCCTATATGATTAAAACCCTCAGCAAAATCGACATACAAGGGACATATCTTAATGTAATAAAAGCCATCTATGACAAACCCATAGCCAACATAATACTGAATGGAGAAAAGCTGAAAGCATTCCCTCTGAGAACGGAAAGAAGACAAGGATGCCCACCCTCACCACTCCTCTTCAACATAGTACTGGAAGTCCTAGCCAGAGCAATCAGACGAAAGAAATAAAGGGGATCTGGGCCGGGTGCGGTGGCTCACGCCTGTAATCCCAGCACTTTGGGAGGCTGAGCGGGCAGATCACGAGGTCAGGAGATCGAGACCATCCTGGCTAACACAGTGAAACCCCGTCTCTACTAAAAATACAAAAAAAATTAGCTGGGCGTGGTGGCCGGTGCCTGTAGTCCCAGCTACTCGGGAGGCTGAGGCAGGAGAATGGCGTGAACCCGGGAGGCGGAGCTTGCAGTGAGCCAAGATCGCACCACTGCACTCCAGCCTGGGCGACAGAGCGAGACTCCATCTCAAAAAAAGAAAAAGAAAAAGAAAAAAAGAAATAAAGGGAATCCAAATCAGTAAAGAGGAAGTCAAACTGTCCCTGTTTGCTGACGATTATCGTTTACCTTGAAAACCCTAAGGACTCCTCCACAAAGCTCCTAGAACTGATAAAAGAATTCAGCAAGGTTTCCGGATACAAGATTAATGTACACAAATCAGTAGCTCTTCTATACACCAACAGCAACCAAGTGGAGAATCAAATCAAGAACTCAACCCCTTTTACAATAGCTGCATAAATAAATACATAAATAAATAAATAAACAAGAAAGATAGGAATATACCTAACAAAGGAGTCAAAAGACCTCTACAAGGAAAACTACAAAACACTGCTGAAAGAAATCATAGGCGACACAAACAAATGGAAACACATCCCATGCTCATGAATGGGTAGAATCAATATGGTGAAAATGACCATACTGCCAAAAGCAATCTACAAATTCAATGCAATCCCCATCAAAATAACACCATCATTCTTCAGAGTTAGAAAAAACAATTCTAAAATTCATATGGAACCAAAAAAGAGCCCGCATAGCCAAAGCAAGACTAAGCAAAAAGAACAAATCTGGAGGCATCACACTACCTGATTTCAAACTATTCTGTAAAGGCCACAGTCACCAAAAAAGCTTGGTACTGGTATAAAAATAAGCACACAGACCAATGGAACAGAATAGAGGACTCAGAAATAAACCCAAATACTTAGAGCCAACTAATCTTCGACAAAGCAAACAAAAACATAAAGTGGGGAAAAGACACCCTTTTCAACAAATGGTGCTGGGATAATTGGCTACCCACATGTAGGAGAATTAAACTGCATCTTCGTCTCTCATCTTATACAAAAATCACCTCATGATGGATTAAGGACTTAAACCTAAGACCTGAAACTATAAAAATTCTAGAAGATGAGATTGGAAAAACCCTTCTAGACATTGGCTTAGTCAAGGATTTCATGGTCAAGAACCCAAAAGCAAATGCAATAAAAACAAAGATAAATAGCCGGGACCTAATTAAACTAAAGAGCTTTTGCATGGCAAAAGGAACAGTCAGCAGAGTAAACAGACAACCCACGGAGTGGGAGAAAATCTTCACTATCTATACATCTGACAAAGGACTAATATCCAGAATCTACAATGAACTCAAACAAATCAGTAAGAAAAAAACCAAACAATCTTACCACAAAGTGGGCTAAGAACATGAACAGACAATTCTCAAAAGAAGATATGCAAATAGCCAACAAACATATGAAAAAATGCTCAACATCACTAATGATCAGTGAAATGCAAATCAAAAACACAATGTGATACCACCTTACTCCTGCAAGCATGGCCATAATCAAAAAACAGTAGATGTTGGTGTGAATGCAGCAATCAGGGAACACTTCTACACTGCTGGTAGGAATGTAAACTAGTACAGCCGCTATGGAAAACAGTGTGGAGATTCCTTAAAGAACTAAAAGTAGAACCACAATTTGATCCAGCAATCCCACTACTGTGTATCTACCCAGAGGAAAAGAAGTCATTATTCAAAAAAGATATTTGCACATGCATATTTATAGCAGCACAATTCACAGTTGCAAAATTGTGGAACCAGCCCAAATGCCCATCAATGAATGAGTGGATAAAGAAATTGTGGCATATATATATATATATATATATATATATATATATATATATATATATATATATATATGATGGAATACTACACAGCCATAAAAAGGAATGAATTAACAGTATTTGCAATTACCTGGATGAGACTTGGGACTATTATTCTAAGTGAAGTAACTCAGGAATAGAAAAGCAAACATCAAATGTTCTCACTGATATGTGGAAGCTAGGCTATGAGGACACAAAGGCATAAGAATGACACAACGGACTTTGGGGACTTTGGGGTAAGAGTAGGAGGAGGGCAAGGGATAAAAGACAACATATATGGTGTAGCATATACTGCTCGGGTGATGGATGCACCAGGATCTCACAAATCACCACTAAAGAACTTACTCATGTAACCAAATACCACCTGTACCCCAATAACTTATAGAAAAATAAATAATCTGAAAAAATGATGTATATCTCTATGTGCAAACCTTGAAAGATATGACAAATATATTACTAAATAAAAAGGAGTGTGTTGCAGAATAGTTATCCATATTATGATCCCATTTGTATATTTTTGCTGTAATAAACCATAACCATGAGTCTAATGGATTTTCTGAGTTCTGTGAGTCCTTCTTATGAGTTACCAAGCCTGAGGGTGGCTTTGAGGACCACCTAAATGTTGCAATACCAAATAAGGAGAATACATGCTTCTGTAAGCACAAAAAATTCCTATACGGATATAAATGAAACAATAATGAGACTAGGAGGTAGGGAACTTTTACTTTTCAATATACAACATTTTCTTCTGTTTTTATTTTGCTTAAGGATATGTATTACTTTTATAATTTCTTTAACTTAAAAGAACTATTTGTTGGCATGGCAATGGAAGGAGAGTGGTAGCCCTATGGTTAGTACGGATATCTGAAGAACTAGAAGAATTAAGAATAAAAGTAAGCCAGGCGCGGTGGCTCACGCCTGTAATCCCAGCACTTTGGCAGGCCAAGACGGGCGGATCACGAGGTCAGGAGATAGAGACCATCCTGGCTAACACGGTGAAACCCCGTTTCCACTAAAAAAATACAAGAAAAAAAAATTAGCCAGGCGTGGTGGCAGGCGCCTGTAGTCCCAGCTACTCGGGAGGCTGAGGCAGGAGAATGGCGTGAACCCGGGAGGCGGAGCTCGCAGTGAGCCGAGATCGCGCCACTGCGCTCCAGCCTGGGTGACAGAGTGAGACTCCGTCTCAAAAAAAAAAATTAAATAAAATAAAAATAAAAGTAAATGCACTCATTAATAACCCTGAGTCAATGAAAAAGTTAAAATTGTTATTCATATATTAAACATGTTATTCATCATATTAAATAGAATATGAATTATAAGATAGAAATGTATATAACATTTACTAACATAAAAAATTAAAAATAAGTATTTTTAATGTTCGAAAGGAGTAAGTTTTAGCTGGACTTGGTGGCTCACACCTGTAATGCCAGCTACTACTCAGGAGGCTGAGGCAGAAGGATTGCTTGAGGCCAGGAGGCCAAGACTAACCTAAGCAACATAACGAGACCCTCGTCTCCAAAAAATTAGTTGTGTGTCAGGAGTTCGAGACCAGCTTGGGTAACATAGTGAGATCCTCATCTCCAAATAATTATCTAGGTGTTGTCAGGAGTTCGAGACCAGCCTGGGCAACACAGTAAGACCCTGTCTCTACCAAAAAAAAAAAAAAAAATGTAGTTGGGCATGGCGGCACACTCCTGTAGTCTTAGCTCCTCAGAAGGCTGAACTGGGAGGATCACTTGAGCCCAGGATTTGAAGCTACAGTGAGCTATAATCATGCTACTGCACTCCAGCCTGGGTAACAGAATGAGATCCCCATCTCCCTGCCCCCTAAATACATACATACATACTTACATAAAATGAAATGTTTGTTACCTTATATACTTTCTAGAAAACTTAATTCCCAAACAATGACATATATATATCAGATAGGAGGGTTTCAAAATACCTACACTTATAAATAATTATACAGAAACTACAGGGGGAATGGCAGCCATGAGGCTCTGGAGAGCAGAAGAACAGGAATTTAGAGAAAGACTTGAAGAAAATTTCTTCTGTTCAAAAATTCAAGCCTGACTAAAAGAGTCTGTTAACTTAAGATGGTTCAATACACTATGGAAACCTGTCATTATTTTATAAAATTACATAGATATATCTTATTGCTTAAAGCAAACAGTACCTTGAGTTAATCCTGTGCATATGCACATTCATGCACACACATAAAAATTATGTCCTCTCAAGCTACAAAATGTGGAACATTCTTCTAAAAACAGTAATGTGAATTAGAAAACTCCACCAGATTGTTTAAGTACATTAAGTAGAAAAATATGCCTCAAAACAAATGGTAAGTTAGGGAAGAAAGGTCAAATAAAGGTTTTGTCACATGCTATTATAATAGTAACAAATGCAAATTATTTTTCAGTGTTACATTGCCACCTATTGGTGAATTTTTTTACATAAAAAACCATAAAGATATTAGAGAGAAAAGTTGATAAAATGTTTAGAACTGTCCAAGTAAACCTCTATTAAATCCCTGACCCAGTAAAACTAGGAAAGTTAACAAAATGTTGTCACTTTCTTTTTTAAGAAACTGGGTCTCACACTCTGTGATGATTATGATCTCAGTGATCATAGTTCACTGCTTCCTTGAACTCCTGGACTCAAGCAATCATCCCATGTCAGCTTCCTGAATAGCTGAGACTACAGGTGTGTGCCACCACACCTGGTTAATTCTTTTATTTTTTTGTAGATATGGGGTCTCACTATGTTGCCCAGGCTGGCCTCAAACTCCCAGCCTCAAGCAATCCTCCTGCCTTGGCCTCCCAAAGTATTGTTATTACAGGTATGAGCCATTGCACCCAGCTGATTCTTGTCACTTTAAGCTACTAAGGCTTGGGATAATTGTTACGCAGGAAGAGATAACCAGAGCAGCTAAGTTGAAAGATGAACACTACTATCTTAACTCTGGTCAGCTCTAAACACTGTTTCCAATCCTAATACATACTCCCAATTTTCCAGGCTTCTGATCTAATAGCCTACCTTATAAGTTTACAACCTCAGCTCATCCTTAAGAATCTCATACCCAAAACTGTCTGGTTCTGACATTTTGTTTCCATCTTGAACTTCAATTTAGACTTTTCTTTAACATTACACCCAAACTTCAGTCTTCACATACTCTGCTGCCATTTATATGATTCTTCACTATCACTAATTTGTTCCAAATCAGAGAAGATAAATTGGGCATAAAATGGAAAACATGTACTGGAAAATTAAGTGTTATACTGAACAGATCCCTTCTAATAAATTTAGAAGTACTGAACAGATCCTGACACTTTAGACTTAGGTGGCAAAGAAAATTATATCTAGATACTATCACTAAACCTTAAAACTTAACAACAGTTTTAATATATTCCATGTTATACATGATGGATATTAGAATATTCTTGTTGCAGATGGTTACCCAGCTATGGCAGAGGAACTATCTCTAATACTTATATATACTCTGGAAAAGAAAATAAAAGTAGAGCTTCAGTTTCCTGAAGAACATCCAGTAAAACCTAATGGAGAAACCAGCCCCTCTTAAGTTTTAACAAGGGTAATCTAGGTATTTATTTTTTTAATTATCAAAACAAACAAAAAATATAACCCAATGTAGAACTTACTCAACCTGATAAAAGACACCTATTAGAAATCCACAGCTAATGTCATACTTAATGGTGGAGAACTGAAAGCTTTCCCTGAGATCAAAAACATGACAACCAACTGCTCTGACCACTTACGTTCGACATTGTATGGAAATTTCTAAGAAGGGCAATTAGGCAAGAAAAAGAAGTTGAAGATATTCATATTGGAAAGGAAAAAGTAAAACTATTTCTACTCATAGACTATGATTTTCTTAATAGAAAACTAAATCGCGTGCGTGCGCGCGCACACACACGCGTGAGCGCACACATACAACTATTAGAACTTATAAATGGACTCAACTAAGTTGCAGGATACAGAATCAGTATACAAAAATCTGTTGTATTTCTATACACTAACAAAGAATTATCTGAAAATAAAATTAAAACAATTTTATTTCCAAAAGGCTCAAAAAGAATAAAATATTTAGGAATAAATTTAAGAAAATAAGTCCAAGACTTTTACACTAAAGAAATTAAAGGACCTAAATCAAATTTCATTATTAAAAGAAATTAAAGACCTAAATAAACGGAGAGAAATTAGATGTTCATGGAGGGGAAGATTTAATATTGTTAAGATGGCAATATTCCTCAAATTAATCTACAGATTCAATGCAATATCTAACAGAATCCCAGCTAGTTTCTTTGAGGAAATATAAAAGCCAATCATCAAATTCAAATGAAATTTCAAGGAACCTCAAATAGCAAAACAACTTTGAGACAGAAAAATAAAGCTGTAGGACTTCTTCCTGATTGCAAAACTTACCACAAAGCTACAGTAATTAAAACAATGTCACACTGGCATAAGGACAGACATATAGATCAATACAATAATATTGAGAGCCTAGAAATAAACACATACATCTATGGTCAATTGATTTTCAACAATGGTGTCAAGACTCTTCAATGAAGAAAGAATAGTCTTTTCAACAAATGGTGTTAGAACAACTGGATATCAAAATACAAAAAATGAAGTTGGACTCCCACCTCATGCCATATACAAAAATAAACTGAAAATAGATCATAAACATAAATACAAGAGCTAGAACTATAAAATAAGAAAACACAGGTGAAAAAATTCATGACCTTCGATTAAGCAATGAATACTTGGATATGCACTAAATGCAAAAGCAACACAAGAAAAAAATAGGTAAATTAAATGTAATCAAAATTTTAAAGATTAGTACTGAAAAGATGATATAAAAAAGTAAAAAGACAACTCACAGAATGGAAGGATATATTTGCAAATTATATGGGTGTGTTTACATTTGTAAATGTCAATTTTCAGTAAAAGGAACCATGATGTCTTCAAGAAATGGCTGATTCTGGGGCCAGGACAATATAACATGAACCTGGAGCATCCTGTAATGCCAGAAAGTAATAAAGTGCTCAAAGCCAAAAGGATAGGGACATATCAAAGGGTAGAGGACCTCACCTTAAAAAAAGCTCCCAATGGTCAAAGTGAAACAATTTGAGCAAAAAAAAAAAAAAAATGCAGTAATGGTTTATAGTCCAATGCACGAACTAAAAATAGATGAGTATATAATTATATAAATCAAAGGCTAAATAAATGGGTAAGAAAAGATAATTTTTTCTTTAAAAAAATCCAAATTTTATGTGTAGATATTACCCACTATAGGAGATACAGCTTAATTTCCACCATCCTCCCATTCAGGTGGGCTAGATTGAGTGACTGGATTCCAATGAACAGATGAGGGACAGGTAAAAGTAGCAGCTCTACAGGAGAGAAACCTGACAAACTCTACCCTAGCCAAGTGATGAAAGTTAACATCATCAGTAACAGCAAGTGCTTATCATGTACCCCCGATATGAGATATGATGTGACAAAAAGGGTATGTCACCTCTGGTATATTCTTTCAAAACCTCAGTCTAATCTCAGTCTAATCACAAGAAAAACTATAAATTCAGATCAGAGAACACTCTACAGGATATCTACCTGGACGGTCCTCCTTAAGACTGATGAGATAATGAAAAAATAAAGATTGAGAAACCGTCATAGACCAGAAGACTGTTAGAGACATGACAGCTAAATACAATGTAGAACCCTGGATAGAAAAACTGGTGCAATACAAATGCAGTTTGAAGTTATTAATAATAATGTGTCAATTTCTTAGTTTTGACAAATCTACCATGGCAATGTAAGATGTTAACAATTGAGGAACCAGATGTAGGGTATATGGGAACTCTCTGCACTACCTTTTCAACTTTCATGTAAACAGAAAATTATTCCAAAATGAAAAGTTTTTTTTTGTTTTTTTGTTTTTTATTTTTGAGATGGAGTCTCGCTCTGTCACCCAGATGGGAGTGCAGTGGCACAATCTTGGCTCACTGGAACCTCCAGCTCCCAGGTTTGAGCGATTCTTCTGCCTCAGCCTCCTGAGTAGCTGGGACTACAGGAGTGCACCACCATGCCCGGCCAAAAATTTTTTTTAAATGTCACTAAATGATAAAATATGGCAATGACAAATGTTACCCTTCATGTTAGAAGCTTTAATTTTTTTTTTCTTCATTTTTTTCATGAACAAATAAGTACACTAAGCACCTGAAACTGTTGTATTAAACAGTTTCAAGGAAATCTTGTGGAAAAAATCTGCTACAATGATACTAGACACTAGCTTATAATTTTTCAACAATAAACCAGCCACAAGATTTATAAACACCTATTTAATCGTGGGAAAGAGATAAACTTATTATTAGGCCTTAGATTTGTGATGGCAGTTATTTTGCTATGTATTAACTACCTCATTATCTTTAAAAAAGAGGCAAAGCCAAGGATTCTAAAGATTACTATCACTTTGACAATGACAATTACCCAGACTTTCTCAACAAAAATAAAACCTCAATAGTGTCTTAAATATGATATGACAAGATAAACATATGAAGAAAAAGTTGCACAAATTAATAATCGTAGATTAAAAAATAATTTTAGTTTTGCAGACAGTACAACGTGTTGCTTTTCCAAGTGGCAAATATATCAACATCTGGCTCTCACATCAGATTACTATCACATAAGGATCAACAGTATTGAAAATATTAACCTTTCATACTGATGGCCCCTTAAAAGGAGATAAGCAAGCAGCAATTCTTCTAATGACATGAAGTTTGGAAAGACACAAACTGTTTTCAGGATATGGAGAGAGCTCTTGTTATCACCTAATATTTGGATAGCTGGAAGAATCTTTGATTGCAACACAGGCATTTGATGCATTTTTAAGTGTTTACAAGGTATCCCCTAAAACCCTAAACACTTTCAGACTCAGCAAATAAATTCTGAACAGCTGGCGACATTAAGGGTGATTTTATTCTATTGAAATACTAAGAATTTTCTAAAAGGCAAAAACCTGAAGGATAACCACAACAAAGACCAGATACTTAGTAGCTGTGCAATTACTATTTGTTAAAATATAAACACATTTTTTATTCAACTTGCTTCTTTATGTCACTGTCTATTAATACCTTACCTGGATCAACCAAAGCTTTGTTAAATATTTCTTTAAGTTTCCGACTCTTCACATTCCTTCCTTGAGCAAGATTTCTATACATCTCATAGCCTATGATCATAACACCACCATCTTCTTGCCACCTCTGCAGCATGTAGCTTCTCTCCTGAGGACGTTTCACAGTTGCTAATTCAGAAACCTTTTGTGGGGAAATAAAGATTTTTTTAAGTAGCTACTAAAAACATGTGAATATTAAATATTCCCACTGAAATATGCATCACTGGTTAAAAAACATTAAAAATTAAAAAAAATTAAAAATAGTTTACTATATGAATTTCATGTGACTATTTTAATAATAGAAAACATTTAAAATAAGTTACCTCAAGCTTCTCATCATCTTTTAATCCCTCTTGCCACTTCTCAAATTCATTCATCCAATTCAAAGCAGTATTAAGAGGACAAACCACTAACGCCGTGCTGAAATCCAGTTTGTCACACAAAAGAACTGTATGAAGAAAACTTACCACCTATAAGAAAACAGATTGTCACCTTCGTTTAAATATCCACAAAAAAATTTAATAAATTAAGCAATCTTACAATATTATAGCTTTGTTTTGCTTAAACAATAAACGGCCAGAATTTCCAAACCAGGCAAGGCACAGGGAAAGAGATAGTAAAATGCCAAAGTTCAACTAGATGATGTATCAGGCTCTTCCAACTCTAAAGCTCCATGATTCTATGATCAATGTGAATAGTATAAAATGATCCCATACCAATACTAAGTCCTAGGTCTCCACAGAATGTCCCTATAGTCTTTCAAAAAATACCATCGCTCATTTAGAAGAGAATCATGTTACATAATATTTTTCCACTTTAATGTGTTCTGACCCATTAAATCTATAATTACTTTATGGTTTAAAAGTACAAATACATTCACCAATTTTACATCTCTGCTACAACTCCTGCCATTTAGAAATGCAGCAATTTTAATAGTAAAAGATACTTTACTTTGTCATTACTTTAACATCATAAACCGTTAAAAGTTGTAAAAAAAAAAAAAAAAAAAAAAAAGGTAATTTCTACCTTAGAATCTTTGCAGTTGTTGTTGGCCATACCTGAAACCCCACAGCCTCGCTTCATTAGGACCTCTGCTCAAACATTACCTCCTAAAAGATGCCTTTCCTAACTCAATATCCTCCCTTAACATTCATTTTCTGAAAGTACATATTTCTTATTTGATTAGCAGCTCTCTCCTCCACTAGAATATAAGCTCCTTGGAGACAGATCTTGTTATTCTTGTTCACTGCTTTATCTTCAGCCCCTACGACTGTGCCTGAAACATAATAGAATCCAATATATATTAATGAATCCACAAAAACAGGATACCTTCATATTCTTCAGCTCTTACCTGTAAAGTCTTACCAAGGCCCATACAGTGGGCAAGAATGCATCCTGAACCTGGAGATTTCTTTGTTTTTTTCACAGACTCACAGCAGCAATCCCACATAAACTGAACACCTAAAAATAACAGCTTCATTAAGTTAAATTTAAAGGTCCAAGTTAAAAACTTCCTTTACATAAACACATCAAAAACATAACCAAAACTTCTAAGAAACAGCATTAAAAAAACACTTAGCTAAATAATTTCTTACATCTAAATGGGATTTTTTCCCACCAAACTAAAGCAGAAACAAGTTAACACAAACATAGAACAGGGGGACTTTCCTTCATCTTCTCTAAGCTATCCACAGTAGATGTTCTGTATTCCCTGAGATGGTTCAAAGAAACATAAGAATACTCTAAAAGAGAAACGTGGCCGGGCACAGTGGCTCACGCCTGTAATCCAAGCACTTTGGAAGGCCGAGGCGGGTAGATCACTTGAGGTCAGGAGTTCGAGACCAGCCTGGCCAACATGGTGAAACCCCGTCTCTACTAAAATACAAAAAATTAGCTGGGCGTGGTGGTGGTGTGCACCTGTAGTCCCAGATACTCAGGAGGCTGAGTTGGGAGAATCACTTGAGGCCAGGAGGCAGAGATTGCAGTGAGCTGTTATAGCACCACTGTACTCCAGCCTGAGTGACAGAGCGAGACTCCATCTCAAAAAATAATAATAATAATTTTTGTAAAAAGAGAGCAACTTTATCCAAAAAGAGAATGGCTTCCTATCAAAAATACCTTTGAGTTTATTGAGTCAATCAGGAAAAAAAAACCCATGAGATAATTTCATCATCTTTTCCTTTATTCGATAGTAAACACTGAGCAAGAAAGGGGACTAGCAACTCAAAAGGTAGGAACTACAGAACCTCCCTTATGATTAATTCACATAAACACTCAAAACTGACTTACTGATTCAACTCTAATAAAGAAAACATACCTAAAAATGCTGAAATAGCATTTTCTGAAAAAGGCTTTTAGCTAGCTACAGCTCTTCCCAACCCCTAGCTGCCCTTAGGCCAGTCTTTGCTAATTAGGTGAAACCTACTTGCTATATCTACCCATTTGTAAGTAGCACTTCTTTCTCTTTTTATAACGCTCATTGTGTTTGAAATCACCCAATTTTGTTCTTCCTCATTTGTTTATGAGCTCCATAAAGGCAGGGGAATTGTGGATTCCCCACCCCACTCACCAATTTACCTCCAGGACTTAGCAGGATGTGAGGCAGCTGCCTCACACCCAAATATTGGTAAAAATTTAACTAAAAATTATTGAATCATCTAATAGTTTCTTACCATCTACTTGATGGGGTTTCAATTTGATAACCATATTTCTATGAACCTGCACTAAAGGTTCTTTGGTTTCTTCATCTTCATCTAAAACCAACTTGGTTGTTATTGGACACTTGGTGGGTGAAGCATCTTCAATTTCTATCACCTACAAGAAAAGGAGTTGTTGATAGTTAAGCTCAAAGAAATCATTCAAGCAATGGTCAGTCTTACCAAGGGAGATTTTCCAAAATATAGACACATTTACTCCCACACCACAAATCCAATTGGTATGATTTGGATCTGTGTCCCCACCAAATCTCATGTTAATTGTAATCCCCAATGTTGGAGGTGGGGCCTGGTGGGAGGTGGCTGGATCATGAAGGTGGATTTCTCATGAATGGTTTAACACCATCCCCTTTGGTGCTATTCTTGTGACAGTGAGCGAGTTCTCACAAGATCCAGTTGTTTAAAACTGTGCAGCACCTCTCCCTCACTCTCTTGCTCCTGCTCCCACCATGTGAGGTGCCTCACTCCCCCTTTGCTTTCTGCCATGATTGGAAGCTTCCTGAGGCCTCCCCGGAAGCAGAAGCCACTATATTTCCTGCACAGCCTGCAAAACCGTGAGTCAATGAAAACTCTTTTCTTTATAAATTACCCAATCTCAGAACTAATACACTACTATTTTGCTTCAATAAAGCCAGGACAGAGCCCAGGGTTTTATGTCTTCTAAAATCAAAACTCTCCAAAAAATTTTAAATCACTCTGATAATGTCAGTAATTTAGCTCAACAGATCTCACCCTGGATATTTCAACAACATTTATTACACAGAGTTGTGAAAAAAGCAGTGTTCCCTGTTGTTGGTTGCTATGCCAAAAAAAAAAAAAGAAGAAAGAAGGAAGAAGAAGGAGAAGGAAGAAGGAGGAGGAGGAGGAAGCAGGAAGGAGGAAGGAGGTGGAAGGAGGAGGAAGGAGGGAGGAGGAGGGAGGAGGAGGAGGAAGAAGAAGAAAGAAGAAGAAGAAGGAAGAAGGAAGAAGGAAGGAGGAAGGAGAAGGAAGAAGGAGGAAGGAGGAGGAAGAAAAAAGAAGAAGGAAGAAGAAGGAAGGAGGAGGAAGGAGGAAGAAGGAGGAGGAAGAAGAAGGAAGGAGGAGGAAGGAGGAGGAAGAAGAAAGAAGAAGGAGGAAGAAGGAAGGAGGAGGAAGAAGACAGTCCCAAACAAGAACTGTGCGACTCAGGATGTCAACATGACTACCACTGAAAAACACTGTAAATACATGATGTGAAAAGAAAAAAATATTTAGAAACACTGGTTTCAGAACCACAGGCTCAAAAATCATGATAGGAACATATAATACCTTCTAATTACAAAACGGAAACAATTATCACAAGCTCCTTATTTAGAATAAAACTTAAGTAGATATAATATATGCACACAGGTAACAAGTGTGTGTGTGCATATATTTTTTGCTGTCTTATCCTAATCTCTATCCGTTACATAGTATATTCAGTAACTACGCAAGATAGGTACAAGTATTACCATTTGACAGATGAAAAAACTGAGGGACAGAGAAGTAAAGTAACCTGCACAAGGTCATACGACTATTGAGTATCATGACACTGAGATTTACCCAGAGGGTTGATCCCCCGAGTCCATGCTCTTAAACATTACAAAATACTAGTTTAGTAAAATAAATGCTTGTGATAAACAGTTTTATGGTTCCATGAAAAAAAAATAGAAACTCGTGATTTTAAAATCATAAAAACATTACGCAGTTGGGCACGGTGGCTCACTCCTATAATCCTAACACTTTGGTAGGCTGAGGGGGATGGATCGCCTGAGGTCAAGAGTTCAAGACCAGCCTGGCCAACATGGTGAAACCCTGTCTCTACAAAATATACAAAAATTAGCCAGGCTGGTGGCGGGCGCCTGTAATCCCAGCTACTCTGGAGGCCGAGACAGGAGAATGGATTGAACCTGGCAGCGGAGGTTGCAATGAGCCGAGATCGTGCCACTTCATTCCAGCCTGGGTGAAAGAGCAAAGCTCCATCTCAAAAAAAAAAAAAAAAAAAACACAAACAAACAAAAAAAACTTTAAAAAAAAATTAAAAAACAAAAATTACAATGGTGAAGAAATAAAATTTTAGGCACTTTTTTCTTATTTACAATTAAAACTAGTTAACAAATGAATTTGTTAATGTTCAATATAGAAATTTTCAAACATACACAAAAGTAGATGGAAGAGAATAATAAATCCTATTACCCATCACTCAGCTTCAAAAATTATCAACTTAAGGCCGGGCACGGTCACTCATGCCTGTAATCCCAGCACTTTGGGAGGCCAAGGTGGGTGGATCATGAGGTCAGGAGTTTGAGACCAACCTGGTCAATATGGTGAAATCCCATCTCTACTAAAAATACAATAACAACAACAAAATTAGCCAAGCGCAGTGGCGCGCGCCTATAGTCCCAGCTACTCAGGAGGCTGAGGCAGGAGAATCGCTTGAACCTGAGAGGTGGAGGTTGCGGAGAGCCGTGATTGCGCCACTGCACTCTAGCCTGGGCGACAGAGTGAGACTCCGTCTCAAAAGAAAAAGAAAATTATCAACTTAAGGCCAGTTTTGTTTCACTGACAGCATTTTACCCATTGTCCAGTTCCCCAGATCCCACAAATCATTTTGAAGCGAACACAAGAAAATATGCAATGTCATCTATAAAATGTTTGTAAATGTCTCTTTAAAAGGACACTTCCTCTTTGTAAAACCATACGATCATTGTCACATCCAAAAAACTACAAATAAGTCACAGATTTGCAGTAAATTATCTGAATAGATATTGTACTTACATAAAATTGTGATATACAAACCAAGATTAACGCTGAGAAACAGTGTGGTGAAGTAAAAATAGCATAGGCCATTCAGACCCAAATTCCATTTCATCAAGCTACCTAAACCCTCTTAGCTTCTGTGTCTGAATCTGCAAACTGGGAATGATTATCAATAGTTTCCACAAGGTTGTTCTGGAGACTGAATAAGGCAATGTATGCAAAGTATCTGGCATAGGCTAAGTATTCACTAAATTATTACTGTGTCCTAGCCTGGATATGTAGTAGCTTCATATCACTGGGGTAAAGCCATTATATAAAAATGGAAAATTCCCTAAATGTCTTGTCCTGTTTACAAGGTGTGGTACACAGAATCCTAAAATGGCCCCAGAATTACCGTCATCTGATATAAACACCCTGCATAATCCCCTCACCTTCTGAGTATGGTTGAGACCTGTAAATATGATTGGGCTATCATTCGCATAATTGGCCCACTAATAAGCTGACTCTGATTTAATCAAAAGGGAGATATTCTAGGTGAGCCTGACCTAATTAAAGTGAGCCCTTTAAATGACTGAAATGCTTTTCTATTGATCTCAAAGATGAAACAATCTGCCATGTTGTGGAGAGAGAACTCTAGTAGCTAAGGACCTAAGTGTAATAACTGAAAGGAACTAAATTCTACCAACAAGTGAGTTGGAAAAGGATACAAAGTCTTAGATGAAAGCAAAACTCTAGTTAACATCTTAATTTCGGCTTGGTGGGAAACTAAGCAGAAAACCCAGTAGAGCCACGCTCACTAAGCTATTCCCAACTTCCTGACCCGTGAGACAAATAAGTTTGTCTTAAGAGGTTAAGTGTGTGGTACATTTTAATGCCACAATAAAAAAAACTAATATACAAGGCTTTAATTAAGATTTCTGAACCATATGTTCATCAGTGACTTGATGATACTTTTGTTATTAAGTGTTGTCTTCAGGATTGAGGATTAGTGTATCTTCATCCTAAATGTAGGAGGAGATAAGTTAAAAAGAAATCATCTGCCTATTAGTGACTAAGTAGATGTGTTTATGCACTCAAGCTATAATATAAGGAAACTTTATTTAACTAATAATACTGGGTATATACCCAAAGGAAAATAAATAATTCTTCCAAAAAAGACACAAGTACTCATAAGTTCATTGCCATGCTATTCACAATAGCAAAGACATGTAATCAGCCTAGGTGACCATGAATGGTGGATTAGGTAAACAAAATGTGGTACATATACACCACGGAATACTATGCAGCCATAAAGAAGAAAATCATGTCCTCTACAGCAACTTGGAGGCAGCTGGAGGCTATAAATCTAAGCAAATTCACATAGGAACAGAAAACCAAATACCACATGTTCTCCCAAGTGGGAACTAAACACTGAGCACACATGGACATCAACATGGGAACAATAGACACTATGAACTACTGGAGGGGGAGGGAAGGAAGAGGGCATAGGCTGAACAACTATTGGGTACTATGTTCACTACCACGGTGATGGGATCCACATCCCAAACCTGAGCATCACACAATATACCTAGTAACAAACCTGTACATGTACCCCCCCACCCCGTATCTAAACTAAAAGCTGAAATTTTAAAAAATGATAAATACACAGCAATGAAATAGGAGAAAAACTTAGGACAAATAATCACTTAAGGTGTAGTAAAAATAAATACAGACATGAAATATCTCCCATATCTGAATTGAAGGGAAAATAAAGGAAAAAAAATCATATGACCAAAATATTAAAAGGTTGAGCCAAACTTCTGCTTCCAGTCATGATGGTTTATTAGGAACCAGGTTTACCTTCCTGCTGTAATCAAGTAGAAAAGTAGGCAAAATATATGAAAAAAATTTTTTTCAGTCATTAAATAAAGACACCACGGGACCCTGATCCCTCAGAGTAGGAAAACCAACAAGACCCCTATATTCCCCTTGAATTGGTGCCTGAAGGATCAGGGAAAAGGGATTCCCAAGGAGAGCACTGGAGATATATCAAGTTGAAGAAACAAAGGTCAGGCTGAGATGACTGAAGTTGTGGGGCAGAACTACAAAGAAAAAAGAGCTACACAAAAAGAACTCAAAATCAAGACAGGATTCACTTTGAGTCATAGCTGAACATTAAAATGCACACATGAGGAGTGAAACTTTGTGAGGCCAGGCAGAGCATGACCAAGAAGCTGTGAGCTAAACAGCTCCCAGTGATCACATGGTGCTGGGAGGCATTCGATTTCAGAGGAGGCACAGTAGCCTCTTCGTTTATAACCCAGGGCATTCAGTAGAGACCACGAAGAGACCAAATCTTAGCAGTGGGTCAAAGCAATTCATAAATTAAAGAGTATTGAAGAAACGCATTAACCAGGCTTTTTTAAAAGCTTCAAAATTAAACTGAACTTTTTAATAAAACATTACTAGGTTTGTCAAGAAGAAAAAAAATATGAAGAATAACCAGGGGAAAAAAGAGTCAACAAAAATGGGACAAGAAGTAACAGAAATAATGAAATAGGCAGACAAGTAAAGTGAGACAGCTGATTAAAAATGCCCAAATAGGCCGGGTGTGGTGGCTCACACCTGTAATCCCAGCACTTTGGGAGGCAGAGGTAGGTGAATCGCTTGAGCTCAGGAGTTTCAGACCAGCCTGGGCAACGTGGTGAAACCTCGTCTCTACTAAAAATATATAAAAAATTAGCTGGGCATGGTGGCACACGCCTGTAGTCCCAGCTACTCAGGAGGCTGAGGCAGGAGAATCGCTTGAACCCAGGAGGCGGAGGTTCCAGTGAGCAGAGAGATCGCACCACTGCACTCCAGCCTGGGTGATAGAGCGAGCCTCCATCTCAGAAAAAAAAAAAAAAAAAATGCCCAAACACTGAAAACATGAACACAATGAAAACAAAAATAGAAGATATTTCAAAAAACTAAATGGAATTCCTAGTGATGAAAATTATAGTACACTGTAATTCACTAAGTGGATTAATATCATAATAGTGCAGAAGAAAAGATCAACAAAATTGAAGACAAAGCAAGAAAAACTATCCAAAATGAAACAGAGGGGGGAAAATAAGAAACCTATGGAACAATATTAAAGAGCATAATATATAAGTCCCAAAGAAAAATAGAACAGAAAAAAATTATTTCAAAAAATAATGATGTGAACTTTCCAAAAATTTGATGGAAGCTGGATATGGTAGCTCACACCTGTAATCCAAGATCTTTGGGAGGCCAAGGTGTGAGGATCACTTGAGGTCACAAGTTTGAGGCCAGCTTGGGCAACATAGCAAGACCTTGTTTCTACGAAAAGTTTAAAAATTAGCAATAGGGCATGCCTCTAGTCCTAGCCACTCCAGAAGCTGAGGCAAGAGTATCTCTTGAGCCCAGGAGTTTGAGGTTACAGTGACCAATTATCGTACCACTGCACTCTAGCATGGGCAACAGAGTAAGACCCTGTCTCTAAAACAAACCAACAAAAATTTGATGAAACTATAAACTCACAGATCCAACAAGTTCAAGGAACCCAGAGCAGGATAAACAAAGAAAATAAAAATCTTCAATTTCCGAAAGCCAGACATTAACAGAAAATCTTAAAATACTGAAAAATCTTTTAAGACTATCTTTCCAAGAAATAAAAGGCACATGCAGAGGAGCAAAGATGAAGGAAAAAGGAGAAAGATAACAAACAAAATGTCACAAAGAAGTAACATCTTTAAAGAGATTTTTTTAAAGTATCAATTTAGAATTCTATACCCAGGGAAAACAACTTTCAAAAATGAAGAGATTAGCTTGCTCCTGTACTTCTAGCTACTCAGAAGGCTGAAGTGGGAGAATTGCTTGAGCCCAGGAATTCCAGGCTACAGTGATCATGCTACTGCATCATTCCAAGCTGGGTGACAGAGTAAGACTGTCTCCAAAAAAAAAACAAAAAAAAAAAAGAAGGGAAAATGTAGATATCAACAAAACAATAGATTAGGAAGCTCCAAACTCCAGTTCCCACACAGAACTATTTTGTAAACAAGTAGAAACTTTCTGAACCAACTTTGTCAGAGCTCTGGAACACAGTCAAAGGTTTACAGCAACCAAGCAAATACCCAATCAAGAAAACAACATCTTAGCCAGGCATGGTGGTGACCGCCTGTAGTACAAACAACTAGGCCTAGACAGGAGAATCGCTTGAACCCAAGAATTTGAGGCTAACCCAGGCAACATAGCAAGACCCTGTCTCTAAAATAACGAAAAAGAAAAAAAGTCACCTTCAATACAATAGGAACGTTTTACAGCATTTTTACTTGTCCTTGCCCCACCACCTACCAGAAGGTGAAGGTTTTAGTCTCAAAGCAGCAGCACCCTGTTTCCCAGTATCCTCCCACAAACCAGAGGGAGCAAAGCAGATGTTATTTACAAATTATTGTGTAAATTTTATCTAACCTGTCTGAAGGATACTTGAAGGACTGACATAAGGCTCTCATCATTTCTTCACCTAACTCAGAGCTCTGGTGAGAAGGACAACAAGAACAGCTTTAAAACACACACACACACACACACACAAAACAACTGCAACGTGACTACAGGCCTGGGGCAAGGCATTACAGGGGAACACTCCCAAAACACCACCTAAGGCCCAAATAGCTAGAGATAGGACACTTTTGGAATTTTTTTTTTCAAGATACAGGGTCTTGCTTTGTCACCAAGGCTGGAGTGCTGTGGTGTAATTATAGCTCACTGCAGCACTGAACTCCTGGGTTGAATTGATCCAGCCACCTCAACCGATCTAGCCACCTCAACCGATCTAGCCACCTCAACCGCCCAAGTAGCTGGGACTATAGGTGTGCACCACCACGCCCAACTAGTCTTTATTTTTGTAGAAACAGGGTCTCACAATGTTGCCCAGGCTGGCCTCACACAACTGGGCTCAAGCTATCCTCCTACCTCAGCCTCCAGAGTTGCTGGGACTACAGGTATGAGCCACCACACGCAGCTACTTTTAAATTTGGGACACTCAAAAGCAACCAGGTATATAGGATAATTCAGAAAGCCATATGTGTGTCCAGGTAAAATACATGCTCAGAAAAGATCTTTATTAAAATCTTAAGTTTTCCCCTCAGGCTTATCTTTAGGTTTAGTGGAAGCCTAGTTATGGATTAAAGGAGTGCACCAGCACAATCAATCTACAAACAGAGAGAGCAGGCATTAAAAAAAAAAAGCCTTCTTTTATTTTTTGAGATGGAGTCTTGCTCTGTCGCCCAGGCTGGAATGCAATGGCGCAATCTTGGCTCACTGCAACCTCTGCCTCCCGGGTTCAAGCAATTCTTGTGCCTCAGCCTCCCGAGTAGCTGGGATTGCAGGCACGTGCCACCATGTCTGGCTAAATTTTTTGTATTTTTAGTAGAAATAGGATTTCACCATGTTGGCTAGGCTGGTCTCGAACTCCTGAATCCAGGTGATCCGCCTGCCTTGGCCTCCCAAAGTGCTGGGATTATGGGCGTGAGCCACCACACCCAGCAGACGTTCAAAAAAATCTTTCAAAACATTAGTTGAACATGAATGAAAGGGACAGAGACTTTACTGATGACACACAACAAGAACACTCTTTGAAAAAATAATGTGGGGGAGTCTTAAAACAATAGGTCTACTACAATTTATATATATTTTAAAATCCCAGCAAACCCTTGAAAAGGGAGAGAACCTCATATGCAGAGTTGCCAAGTTACAACAGTCAAATACACAATATGCAATTTTAAAAAATCACACGAGTTGATGGGTGCAGCAAACCAACATGGCACATGTATACCTATGTAACAAACCTGCACATTGTGCACATGTACCCTAGAACTTAAAGTATTAAAAAAAATCACAAAGATACAGCCAAATAGGAAAATATGGCCCAATCAAAAGAGGATGAATAGCAGATTTGAGCAGGCAGAAGAATCAGTGAATATGAAGATATTAACTGAAATCCTCAAGTCCGAAGATCAAAAAGGGAAAAAAAAAAACTAAAGTGAAGAAACAAAAAGGGATGGGAGGGAAACCATCATGAAGAACATCTTATGTATTACGAGAGTCACAGAAGGAGAAAAGAAAAAGAAAGAAGCAACAATTATTTGATGAAATAATTGTGGAAAACTTCCCAAATTGAAGGAGAGAGACTTAAATCTACAAATACAGGAATGAACTCAAACTGGGATAAACTCAAATACGTATAGATCAAAACACATTACACACAAACTGTCGAAGGCCAAAGACAAAGAGAATATTGAAAGCAGCAAGAGAGAAGCAAGTCAACACATACAAAAAAACTTCAATAAGATCATCACCTAATTTCTCATCAAAAACTTTAGAGGCCAGAAGGCAGTGTGACAATATATTTCAAAGTGATGAATGAAAAAAAAAGTTAGCTGAGGATTCTTTTTTCTTTTTTAAAAAATAGACACAGCATCTCACTCTGTCATCCAGGCTATAGTACAATGGCATAATCATAGCTTACTGTATCCTCGAACCCCTGGCTAAAGCAATCCTCCAACCTCTCAAGTAGCTTAGACCACAAGTGTGTGCCACCACATCCAGATAATTTTTTAATTTTTTGTAAAGACAAGGTCTCACTATGTTGCCCAGTCTGGTCTTAAGCTCCTGGCCTCAAGTGATCCTCCCGCCTCGGTCTCCCAAAGTGCTGGGATTACAGGGGTGAGCTACTGTGCCAGGCATCAGCTGAGGATTCTATACCCAGCAAAATTATCCTTCAAAATAGAGGAACAAGTTAAGACACTCCTAAGCCAAATGAATTTGTTAAAACTAGACCTGCCCTATAAAAAATGCTTCCTACAGGGAAGTCTTTGGGTTGAAATGAAAGGATGCTAGAAGTAACTCAAAGCCATATAAAGAAATAAAGATCTCCTAGAAGAGATACATACAGGGGCAAATATAAAACCTAGTATCACAAAATTTTGTTTCATAACCTCACTTTTTACTTTCTTTAGGATTTAAAAGACAAAAGCATAAAATACAATTATGAATATATGTTACCATTCACGACATGTATAAAAATGTAATTTGTGATATCAATAATTGTAACAGAGTCACCACATAATATACAGGGGAATGGAGCTGTGGAAGAGTAGAATTTTTGTATGCAACTGAAGTTAAGTTCACATCAATTCAAGTAAGACTCTCATAACTTTAGGATGTTATATGTAATCTCCATGATAACCACAAAGAAAATATAGAATATACAAAAATGAAAGTGAGATGGGAATCAAAATATGTCACTGCAAAAAATTAACCAAACACAAAAGAAAGCAGTAATGGAGGAAATAATGAACAAAATAATGAACAAAATGAAAAAGGAAAACACAAAATGGCAGAAGTAAATCCTTATTTATCACTACTTACCTCAAGTGTAAATGGATTAAACTCCTGGATCAAAAAGACATAGATGGACATAATAATTTTTAAAAAATGATCCAAATACTGGTTATCTAAAAAAGGTTCGCTTTAGATCTAAAGACACAAATAAACTGAAAGTGAAAGAATAGTAAAAGACATTCCATGCAAATAACAACCAAAAGAGAGCTGAGATGACTATATAGACATCAGACAAAATAGACTTTAAGTCAGAAACTGTTACAAGAGACAAATAGGATATTATGTATTGATAATAAAGCCAGGTTCTCAAAAAATGTAATTATAAACATAAATACAACAAACAACAGAGCACCAAGACATATGAAGAAAGCACTGAAAGAACTAAAAGGAGAAATATACATCAGTGTAGTAGGGGAAAACTAAAACAAAAAAAGAGAGAAACAGTTGGAGACATAAATAGCCCAATATCAATAAAAGCGTAAAACAAGTAGACAAAGATAATTAAGGAAATATAGGACTCGAATAACACTATAAACCAATTGGAGCTGGCCACAGTGTTTCATGCCTTAATTCCACCACTTTAGGAAGCCAAGGCAGGAGGATCACTTGAGGCCAGGAGTTGGAGACCAACCTGGGCAACACTGTAAGACCCTGCCTCTGTAAAACAGTTTAAAAAAATTAGCTGGGGTGGTGGCATGCACCTATGGTCCCAGCTACTCAAGGGGCGGAGGCAGGAGGATCACTTGAGCCCAGGAGTTCGAGGCTACAGTGAGCTATGATCACGTCACTGCACTCCAGCCTGAGCAACAGAGCAAGACACTGTGTCTTTAAAAAAAAAAAAAAAATAGACCTAACAGACATATAAAGAACACTCCACTCAACAATGGTAGACTATACATTTTCTCTCAAGTGCACATTCTCAAGGACAGACCATATAATCAGGCACAAAAAAGCCTTAATAAATATAAAGAGACTGAAGTATCTTTTCCAGTCACAAGGGAATGCAACAAAAAATCCATAACAGAAGACAACTGGAAAGAACACAAATATGTGGAAATTAAATAAGTAACTAAAGGATCAAGTAAAAGATCACAAGGAAAATTAGAAAACACTTTGAGACAAATGAAAGTTAAAACACAAAATACAAAACATATGGGACGTAGAGAAAACAGTACTAAGAAGAGGATTTACAGCGATAAAGGCATACAGTAGAAAAGAAGAAAGATCACAATCAAGAACCTAACTTTACACCTTAAGGAACCAGAAAAGGAAGCACAAACTAAACCCTAGCTAGAGAATAAAAGGAAATAATACAGATTAGAGCAGGGACGAATAAAATGGTTGATGGATGCATAGATAAGACAGATATGTAATAAAGCAAATACAGCAACATGTTAAGAAATGAAGAAGCTACATGGTAGGTACATTCGTGTTCATGTTTACAATTCTCTCCATATATTTACAAATTTCACGATAAAATTGTGGGGGAACAAAATTACTAGAAAAAAATAATGAGAAAATATACACCACATATTATTCAAAAACAAATGTACACAAGATTTTTGCCTTTCATTTTAAGTAAATTTCCTTTTACATAAAAAGGAAAACACATAAATATTGAACTTTAGCTAATGATACACCTGCTAAAGCATTTGAGATAAATGAAATGATGTATGCAATTTACTATGAAATGCATAAAAAGATGTACTGATAGATAAAGATTAGTACATAAATAGGAATGTAATAAAGGAAACATGAAAATGAAAAATATGACAATGAAAAAAATCTAGGAAGTAAGTTTACAGGAAATCAATGAAATACTTTCAACCTGGCTGTATAAATGAAACTTTTCCTAAGATGTTGGAAAAGAAAGATGATGATGTCGTTACCATTATTATCAAATACAGCAGACTTCAGGTGAAAGAAAATTACCAGATAATACAGAGTCACATTACATGTTGTTAAAGGGGGAATTAACCAGAAAGATGTAATCCTAAATGTATATGTACCTAACAAAACAACTTCCAGCAAACATGAAGCAAAATCTGAGAGACCTACAAGGAGAAAGAGATGAATTAACAATTATAGTTGGAGACATCAACACTCCTCTGATTGGAGAGAATACCATTAAAACTACAGAAGATGTGAATATAATCAGCCATCAATATAATCTGATCAAAATTTATAGAATATGTCACCCAACAACAGCAGAATATAAACATTGAACATCCACCAAGACAGATCATATTCTGGCTCACAGAAATTAGAAAAGATTCAGAGCAGAGTAAAAATGAACACAAAATACCAAAATCTGTAAGATGCAGTGTTTAAACAGTATGCACAGTGGCAAATTTTATACCTTTAAAAATGCATACGTTAAAGAAGATCCAAAATCCACCTTAAGTAGCTAGAAAAAGAACAGAAAATAAGTCCAAAGAAGGATAAACACAGTAAAAAGAAGAATGAAAATCAATGAAATAGAAAAGGGTCAAACAATAGAAAAAAAATTAATGAAATCCAAAGCTGCGTTTTTTTTTTTTTTTGAGATAGTAAAATTGTGAACTTTTTGCACAGATTAATCAAGGAAAAAATGATAAAACACAAATTCCTAACAGAAACAATAAATGACAGAACCTACAAAGTATAATGAAAGACTATAAACAAATTTACATAAATAATTTGACTACTTAAATGAAATGGAAAAATTCCTTAAGTTTGAAATTTACCAAAACAGACCTAAAGAAAAAGAAAAGATCTAAATAGTTCTACATGTATTAAAGAAATGGAATATGCCAGGTGTGGAGGCTCCCTACTATAGTCACAGCACTTTGGGAGGCTGATGGGAGAGGACCACTTGAGGCCAGGGGGTCAAGACCAGCCTGGGTAGCATAATGAGACCCAATCTCTAAAATAAAAAATTAACCAGGTATGGTGGTACATGCCTGTTGTCCCAGCTACTTGGAAAGCTGAGGCAAGAGGATTGCTTGAGCCCAGGAGTTTGAGGCTGCAGTGAGCTATGATCACACTATAGCACTCTAGCCTGAGAGACAGAGCAAGACCCTATCTTGAAAGAAAGAAAAAGAAAGAAAGAAAGGAAGGAAGGAAGGAAGGGAGGAAGGAAGGAAGGAAGGATCAGCAAATGCAATACAATATATAAAAGGAGTAATATAACGTGACTAAGCAAGGTTTATTCAAGGAATACAAGACATTTTCTAGGTCACTCCAACAGATGCAATGAAAAGCATTTGAAGAAATTCACCATTTATAATTTTAAAAAAATAAATGACAGATTGGAATGGAATTAGCAAAATAGTTTTTCTTTACAGACAACACAAACGTATACATGAAAGTCACAAAGAATTTATCAAAAAAGCTACTATAACGAGTAAGTAAATTTAGAGCTTAGGACACAAGGTCATTATGCCAACATTACGTGAAACTACATTTACTATATGATATGGCTTGGCTGTGTCCCCACCCAAATCTCATCTTGAATTCCCACATGTTGTGGGACGGACCCAGTGGGAGGTAATTGAATCACGGGGGCAGGTCTTTCCTGTGCTGTTCTTGTGATAGTGAATAAGTCTCACAAGATCTATAGTTTTAAAAAGAGGAGTTTCCCTGCACAAGTTCTTCTCGTCTGCCACAATGTGAAATGTGCCTTTTACCTTCCACCATGATTGTGAGGCCTCCCCAAGCCACATGGAACTATAAGTCCAATAAAACTCTTTCTTTTATAAATTGCCCAGTCTTGGGTATGTCTTTATTAGCAGCGTGAAAATGGACTAATACAATGTAACATCAAAAATCAGGAATTACTTGGGGATAAATTTTTTAAAATATGTACTAGACCTGTACAGAGAAAACTACAAAACATTCCTAAGAGAAATTAAAGAGAAGGTAAATAAATAGAGAAGTACACTATATTCATGTAACAGGAGACAAAACACTGTTAAGATGTCTTCTGGCCACATTACAAGAAAGATTCAACAAAATTCCAACAGAAATTCCACAGGGATTTTTGTAAAAACCAACAACGTAATACTATGTGGAAATGCAAAGAACTGAGAATATCCAAAAAGATTCTGAAAAAGTGGAACAAAGTTAGAGGAGCTGTACCACAAAAAAAGGGACAAGCAGTTTTAAAGTACCTCTTAATGAGATCCAAAAGGAAGTACATATTACTGCCCATGAGTATTTCTACCAAAAAGAGAACTGAATCTAAATCTGATCAGGACTCTAGATCTTATTACCAATTTATACGAAATATAGAAGCCAGTGAAACTGTACCACAGGGATGCAAATAACAAAACTCAGAATATAGAAAATTTTACAAAAATAATCTGGTTTCTTAAGCAAATGAACTGTAAGAATGGGTAAAGAAAAAGAAAGAACCAAAGAGAAACTAGGTTAAAATTAGGTAAGAGATGTAACATCCAAATACAACAGAATATGCAGATGGCCCTTGTTAAGACCCTGATTCAAACCAACTATTTTTTTTTTTTGAGACAGAGTTTTGCTCTTGTCACCCAGACTAAAGTGCAATGGTGCAACCCTGGCTCACTGCAAGCTCTGCCTCCCAGGTTCAAGCAATTCTCCTGTCTCAGCCTCCCAAGAGGCTGAGATCACAGGCGTGCACCACCATACCTGGCTAATTTTTTTTGTATTTTTAGTAGAGACGGGGTTTCACCATGTTGGCCAGGCTGGTCTCCAACACCTGACCTCAGGTGATCCACCCGCCTCAGCCTCCCAAAGTGTTGGGATTACAGGCGTGAGCCACCGCGCCAGGCCCATACCAACTATTTTTTAAAACTACTATGTGAGGCAATGAGAGAATTCAGTTTAATAATGGCACTGCAGTAATGTTTAAAATACCATTATCTTTTAACAATACATTCCCAACTATTTATAAACAGAATATGATTTCTGAGATTTGCTCTGAAATAATCTGAAGGAAAAAGAATAGATGAAACGGCCAGGCATGGTGGCGTGCACCTGTAATCTCAGATACTCAGGAGGCTGAGACAGGAGAATCACTTGAACCCAGGAGGTGGAGGTTGCAGTGAGCCGAGATTGGGCCACTGCACTCCAGCCTGGGTGACAAGAGTGAAACTCCATCTCAAAAAAAAAAAAAAAAAAAAAAAAAAAAAAGATGAAACAAGACTCGTCCTGTGTTAGTAACTGCTGAAACTGAGTTAATAGATCCAGGGAGAATTATTATATTATTCTCTCCACCTGTGAATTTGAAAACTTTTGTAACATAAAGTCCATTTAAAAAACTGAAATCTTTTATGGATTTAAGAAGTAATTTTGAAACATTTCTCTACCCAAAATACAACATAACCATTTTGGTGATCATTCAAGAATCTCAATGCTTTCCATGCACTTAATTAAATTAATAAAGCTTAATGACTATTTTAAGTTGCATGAAATAGTGACAGTAGGAAAAATCAATTGCAACTAGAAATCCTGTGGTTGAGGCTGGGCAAGGTGGCTCACACATGTAATCCCAGTACTTTGGGAGGCTGAGGCAGGTGGATCACTTGAGGTCAGGAGCACAAGACCAGCCTGGCCAACATGGTGAAACCCCAACTCTACTAAAAAATACAAAAATTAGCTGGGTGTGGTAGTGCATGCCTGTAGTCCCGGCCACTTGGGAGGCTGAGGCACAAGAATCACATGAACCCAGGAGGCAAAGGTTGCAGTGAGCTGAGATCATGCCACTGCAATCCAGCCTGGGTAACAGAGCCAGACTCCGTCTAAAAAAAAGAAATCTGTGGTAGATTACAACATTCTACTCTTAAAATGCTGAAATATATTGAAGTCATATACCAAATAAAATAAATCATTAATAGAAATAAATTAAGGCTGGGTGTGTTGACTCACGCCTGTAATCCCAGAAGTTTAGGAGGCCAAGGTAGGAGGATCACTTGAGCCCAAGAGTTCGAGGCCAGCCTGGGCAACAGAGCAAGACCCTGTAGCTACAAAAGAAAAAGAAGAAGAAAGAAATTAGTTACCTCTCTCAATTTTTCTCGCTCACGCTCCCTCTCAGCAATACGTTTTCGTCTCTCTTCCTCTTCCTTAAGAGCATTTTGTGTTTCTGTTCTCAGTTTATCATCTTTAAGAATCTTCCGAATTTTCTTTCTGCCTTTTCCAGGAGACTTGGAATCATCATTTTCATCTTCCTCCTCCTCTTCCTCCTCCTCCTCCTCTTCCTCCTCCTCTTCTTTTTCCTCCTCTTCTTCCTCAGAATTACTCTACAGAATTTAAACAATTAGAGGTAAACAGTACAAAGTCATTTAATTTATCCATTTCATATTCCATTAATTAACACAGCAGGAAAAGGTGGAAGAAAACATGCTGAAAACCTTTAGAATTATATTCAGCAATAGAGTAGTATTAAAAAAAAAAAAACAACTCTTCGGCCGGGCACGGTGGCTCACACCTATAATCCCAGCACTTTGGGAGGCCGAGGCGGGTGGATCACAAGGTCAGGAGATAGAGACCATCCTGGCTAACACGGTGAAACCCCGTCTCTACTAAAAATACAAAAAAAAAAAATTAGCCGGGCATGGCAGTGTGCGCCTGTAGTCCCAGCTACTCAGGAGGCTGAGGCAGGAAGATGGTGTGAACCCAGGAGGCGGAGCTCGCAGGGAGCCGAGATCGTGCCATCAGACTCCAGCCTGGGCGACAGAGCGAGACTCTGTCTCAAAAAAAAAAAACAACTCTTCAACACCTATTAAAAAAAACAAACAACTCAATTAAAAATGGGCTACCAACTAGAATAAACATTTCTCAAAAGAAGATATAAGCATATGAAAAGATGTTGAATATCACCAGTCATTAGGAAAATACAAAACAAAACCACAAAGAAATGCCACTTCCCACTCATTAGGATGTTTCTTGTTAAAAAAAAAAAAAAAAAGAAAAAAAGAAAAAAAGAAAGAAACAAAGGAAGTGTTGGCAAAGATGCAGACAAATTGGAATCTTGGTACATTGCTAACGGGAACGTCAAATGTTACAGATACCAGAGAAAAACAGTGTGGAGTTTTCCAAAAGTTAAACATACAACTACTATATGATGTAGCAATTCCATTTTTCCATATATACCTAGAATAATTAAAAACAGGGACTCAGATATGTAAACACCCATATTCATAGCAGTATTATTCAAAATAGCCGAAAGGTAGAAACAACCCAAATGTCCATCAACAGATGACTGGGCTAACAAAATGTGGCACACACTTACAATGGAATATTATTCACCTTAAAAAGGGAATGAAATTCTGATATATGCTAAAACATGGATGAACCTAGAAAATATTATGTCAATGAAATAAGCCAGACACAAAAGGACAAATATTGCATGATTCAACTTATATATATGAGGTACTTAAAATACACAAATTCTTGGAGACATAAATGAAAATAGAGGTTACCAGGGGATGGGGGATAGAAGGAAATGGTGTTAATGTTTAATGAGTGAAGAGTTTCTGCTTGTGAATATAATTAAGGCCACTGAACTGTACATTTTAAAATATTTTAAAAGTTAATTTTCAAAAGACAAATATCCCTCTGAAGAGCATTGTGTTGACAGAATCAAACATATTACAGACACCTTTTACTTTATGTAAGCCTGCTTAAATACAAAAATTCAAATTGGCTGATTTCACTATGAGAAGAAATTTATTCATATATGAGTCATCATTCAGGATAGTATTTTGTCTTCAGAAAATAGAACACTCACATCACTACAAATGTAAAATAATGAATTAGAATGGCTTAAATAAAATTCCATTAGAAATTAAGGAATAGAAAAAAATGATAATGTCAAATCAATACTTTTACATATATATATTCAATAACCAATCCTTCCACAAGTGTAAAATGTAAATAAGCCAGTACAATACAATGAATGAATGGAACAGAGAGGTAACAGCATAATTACCATAGTCTACTGTACTGGTTATAATTCAAGCATGTGGTAAATGTCATTATTACCTTGTTTTCACTGGATGAATCTTCTTGAACCTTAATACGTCGCCTTTTCTTTTTCTGTTTATAGCTCCGCTGATTTTCTTCCAACTCTGCTTTCTTTGCAGACCTGACGAAAATTTAAAACACAAAATAAAATATTTCATGATAAACTTCCATCAATAAGTTATGTACTATTTTAAAACTGTTCTACCTCTGTATGCATTCCTAAAAACAAACAGAAAAAAAATCAATAGGTTCAAAATGGATATTCCAGCAGCAGCCTAACCCTTCATTTTAATCCAATGATCAACATTTTACAGTATCCTGAGGGGAGGTTTGTTATATGAGTAAGAAGATGCATAAAAGGACATTAAGACTATTCTTCTAGTATAAAATACAAACAGCCAATAGACATACTAAAAAACATTCATCATCACTAAAAAAAAGCAGATTACAAATTTGAATACTGTTTTCTTCATAACAGGTCACAGAGATTTAAAAAAAAAAGTAACAACTTTTGGTGAGAAAAATATTTCTGGGCTTAGAAATTGGTACACAAAGCTACATTAATCCAGACAAAATAACCACTGTCAGTAAGGATGTGGAGAAAGTGAAACCCTGTTCACTATTAATGGAAATGTAAAATGGTGCAGCTGCTATGGAAACATTATGGCAGTTCGTCAAAAAATTAAAAATAGAATTACCATGCAATTCCTTTTCTGGGTATATACCCAAAAGAAATGAAAGCAAGGACTTGAAGAGATATTTCTACACCCATGTTCAAAGCAGCATTATTCATGATAGCCAAAAGGTTACAAATCAAATGTCCATCAACAAATAAATTGATAAACAAAACGTGGTATACAATGGAACATTAAGTCTTTAAAAGGAAGAAAATTCTGAAACATGCCTCAACATACATGAAGCTGGAGCACATGATGCTAAGTGAAATAAGCCAGTCAAAAAAGACAAATACTGTATGATTCCACTTATATGAGGTTCCTAGAGTAGTAAAATTCATAGAGACAGAAAATAGAATGGTGGTTGCCAGGGGCTTCAGGGAAGAGGAAAAAGAGAGTGGTTTAATGAGTAACATTTCAATTTTGCAAGGGGAAAAGGTTTTGGAGATTGGTTCAAAAAAAGTGAATGTACTTAACACTACTAAGCCATACACTTAAAAATCGTTAAGATGAAAATAAAAATTCCCAGTAATACCATGAAAGAAAAAAAATGGTTAAGATGGTAAATGTTATGTGCATTTTACCACTATTAAAAATAATCATTAAAGAAAGAATGAAGTACTGATACAGGCTACAACATGGATGAACCATGAAAACATTATGCTAAGTGAAAAAAAAATCCATTCATAAAAGGATATACATTATATGAATCAACTCATGCAAAATATCCAGAACAGGCAAATCCATAGAGACAGAAAGTAGATTTTAGTGTTTATTAGAGTACGAGGGCATGGGGAATGGAAAATGACTGCTAGTAAGTACAGGGTTGTTTTCTTGGATGATGGAAATGTTCAGAAATTATAGAGTGGTGTTTGTTGCACAACTTTGCAAATATTCTGAAGACCACTGTATTCCACAGTATAACATGCTGAATTGTATCTTGGTTTAAAAAAAAAAAAAACCTCTCATCATATCTTATCATTTTCATTTTATATTGACTTAAAGTATAATATATTGCTATATTCTAAGCACAACCTGGTAAGTATTAACCTAAAAAAACCTCGAATGTTCTAAAACTTACAAATGCAGATAGACACCTTTGTAGACATACATACACAAACACACACAGATTGTTCATTTGATAAACTGTAGAAAGATTATGTTATTCTGGGGGAAATAAGAAAATTGTAGTAGTAGTATTATCTAACATACCATACTAAGAAGGAAGCCAAATTTTAAATTACAGGTAATCTAGATCAGTGACTGTTCGTGTTACAAGAACAAGCATATCATTATTACTGTAGTACTACTGAGACCAATAATTTATATATTGAGCACTTACTATTTGCCAGGTAGGTACTATTATAAACCTTGTACACGTATTGTCTCATTTAATGCCCACAATAGTCAGTCAAGTATATTGTAATCCCCCACTTTACAGATGAGGAAACTGAAGCATAGATTATTTATACAAACAGAAAGTAGAAAAGCCCAAAGTTAGACTGAGGCAGTTTTTCTATAAAGCCTCTTTACTATTATCCTACAATTTCCCCCGTAACAATAAAACACTGCAGACACGAGTGGTTTTGCAGACTGAAAATCTACCCAGGTTAGAATACATAATTCAACTACACATAAAATATGCTTAGATTCTTTTTAAACTATTAAGTATAACAATTAGTTTCAAATCAAAATATTATATATCACACTAACTTAACTTTATTGGTAACAGTAACCATATAAATCATTTGAAGGCATGGTCATTCAGATTAATTCCTAAAATTTTTTAAAAACCAATTATAATACCTTGTTCTGGGCCGCTGTTCATCTTCGGATTCACTAACTTCTTCACTAACTCCTGATTCCTGAAAATCAGAATCTTCTGAATCTTCACTGCTCACTTGAATTTTAAAAAATACATAAAATTATTAATTATTTTTCAATAGAAACCTAATTCACTTAATTTACCACTGACTCGACATTAAAACAGAGCATTGTAAGAACATCAGAGGTATATATGTGAATGGATAATACATAATATAGAATATACCAGTTAATGCTTTACATGATATACATAAAATTCAGATGTATTTCTAATGTAATTATAAAACTGTGGTTGTACATTAAAATATAAGTATTCAATTGTATATGAATTGACAGAATAAGAATAAATTACCTGTCAATAAAATATATGTAATTACCAAAGGTAAATTAATGAAAAAGAAGTTTGGCTATTCAAAACAAGCAAGGTAGGCTGGCCAAGATGGAGTAAGATTACAGATTGTCTCCACCAATGATGACACAACCGAAGAACTCGGAAAGGGAAACAATAATAGGCAGATTGGAGACTGAAATCAAAACTTGAATAATGACCCCTCTACAATTGGTGGAGGGGAGAGAGCTGTGAGGGCGTATGGTTATTTTCTTTCTTTGTTTCCTGGTTTTGACCAGAAGGCAGGCTAAATTCCAAAGGTATGCAGACGGTACTGACAACAAGACTGTGAAGAAAAATCCCTATTTCTAGCCACAACACCAGGAAAATCAGGCTCTACATGTGGAATCCTCAATTTTCTTTTTCTCACAATTAACACAGTAATGGAAGCATATAAAATTCCAGGAGAAAACCTCTTTCTGGCCAGAGGAAGCAGGGCAGAAAAAAATACAAGATAAGCTTACAACATCTTATAGTGCCAGAAAACAAAGCAGTGTTCAAACATGGGCAGGCACATGTTGAAAGGACACAAGATTCAACTTGAAGGAGCTCCCAACAACCAAAGCTAGAACAATTTGAGCAATAAAATAAATGATACTATTTGATTATAACTGGTAAAATAAAAATCTATAAGTCATATTGATATAAATAATGCAATAAATAAATAGGGGAAAACAAATCTCCCTTACAATTACTAAATGTGGAAGTAATGAAATAAATAGAAAATTACAACTAGGCAAATACCACAGTACTAACTGCTTCACCCAAGATGCATACTAAAATTAGTGGGCTTAAGTATGATAAGAAACAGGATATATGCATGGTCACAAAGTATCTCCCAACAAAATACTAAATATAGATAGAAAAATAATATTTTCTTCTTTACAGTGGAAAAATACCAGCAGACACCAACTTAAGCAAGTAACAAAAGTTAACCGTGAGAGTAATAAGACATATTGACGGCTGGGCATGGTGGCTCACCCCTGTAATCCCAGCCCTTTGGGAGGCCAAGTTGAGAGGATCACTTGAGCCCACGAATTTGAGACCAGCCTGGGCAACATAGGGAGATTCTGTCTCTACAAAAAAAATTTAAAAATTAGCCAGGCATGATGGTACACACCTGTGGTCCCAGCTACTTGGGAGGCTGAGACGAGAGGATCACTTGAGCCCAGGAGGTTGAGTCTGCAGTGAGCCATGATCGCACCACTGTACTCCAGCCTGGGCAACAGAGCGAGGTCTTCTCTCAAAAAAAAAGACATACTGACATCATCTATTCTTGATATCATGCACTGAAGACACAACATCACTTCTGTGGTATTCTGTCAAAATGCATAATAATCTCAATTCGATCATGAGAAAACATTAGACAAATATATATCAAGGAACAGTTGAGAAAATAAGGAATCAACACTCCACAAGTGTCAAGGTCATCAAAGTAAAGACTGAGGAATTGTCACAGGCTGAAGTAGATTAAGGAGACATTATAACTCGATGCAATGTGAGATCCTGGATTGAATCATAGAGCAGAAAGAAAACATTAGTGGGAAAACTAATCTCTGAATAAGATCTATAGTTTACTTCAGAGGTCATAAAACATTTTATGTAAAAAGTTTGATAGTAAATATTTTTGACTTGTGGACCGTATGGTCTCTGTTGCAACTACTCATCTCTACTCAACTTTGCCATTGTACATATGTGAAAACAGTAAATTAATGAATATGGCTGTGTTTCAATAAAAGCTTATTTATAAAAACAGGCAGAGGATCAGATTTGGCCCACAGGTGCAGTTTGTAAACCCCCGGCTTAGTTGATAGTATTGTACCAATATTAATTTCCTGGTTTTGATCATGGTACTATGATAGGGTATTAAATCAGGGAAGCTAGGTGAAAGATACACAGAACTCTGCACTATTTGTGTAACATTTCTGTAAATCAAGAATTGTTTCAAAATAATTTTTTAAAAAAATCTATCATAACCTGAGATCAGAATCAAAGATCTATTCCAGCTTTTTAAAAAATGAGAGAACATAAATGCTAACAGAAATGCTATAAATGGGAGAACATAAATGCTATAAAGAAATGTCGGGGGAGAGGGGAACAAAGAGTTATTGTTTAATGGTTAAAGAGATTCCATTTGGAATGACGACACGTTTTAGGGACAGACAGAAGTTATGGTTGTATAAAAATGTGAATGTACTTAATGTCACTGAATCATACACTTAAAAATGGGTAAAATGGTAAATTTTATGTTACATATATTTTACCACAATAATAAAAAAAAAGAATAGCTAAGCAACTGGAAAGCTGGGAGAATACCAAAAACACACACACTGACACAAAAAAATCCTGTAATTAAGTATAATTTTAAGCCTAGTATTAATTGTTCACCCAGCATTTTAAAATTTTTGAAATCTACCAAAAATTTGAAAGAATTATTGAATGAACACTTGTATCCCTTCTCCTAAATTCACTTATTGTTAGCAGTTTACCACATTTGCTTTTTTTCTTTCTCTCTCTACACACACACACACACACACACACACACACACACACACACACAGGCAGACACAACTTTTCTTACACTGAACCATGTGATATTAAGCGCGGATGACACTTTACCCCTAAGCATAAGGATACTGCCCTACATAACTAAATACCATTATCACATCTGAAAAAAAAATTACTATCATCTAATATGAAGGCAATATTTACAATTTCAAATTGTCACTAAAATAATTTTGTAACATTTTTCTAATTTAGGAGAAAATTAGAGTTCACATGTTGCACTTTGTTCTTATACCTCTTCAATGCATTTCAATTTAATTCAACTAGATTTAATAAGCAGACTATTCACTACTGATTTTTTCCCATCTCTCAATTCAAATTTCCAAATAATATAGGAACATTAGAATTTACAAAACTCAGAAAATCATGCAACTTCAACTATATATCAACCACTATGATCACAATCCATATTAGAAACACAAATATGATGAGATTTTAGAAGTTTACTCTCTCCTACACAAACAAAAAACAACAACAACAAAACCACTTGGGTAATAAATTACCCACAGAATCAGGCTGTAGAAACACAGATCACAGAAAACTCAGGTTTTAATAAAGCAAATCTCAAATGTAATCATATATATTAAAAGGGTCTATATATTGAACTAAGCTTCAGAAGCAAAATCAATATTGCCCCTTTTGTTGAAGAGGCACAGGAATCCATGTTGTGATATATAACATGCTAAATCACACAGTTCCTTTATAGAATCTGTAAGAGCTTGCAGCCATATTGCAAAGAAATTTATAAGACAAGCTGGGCGCAGTGGCTCACGCCTGTAATCCCAGCACTTTTGGGAGGCCGAGGCGGGTGGATCACGAGGTCAGGAGATCGAGACCATCCTGGCTAACACGGTGAAACCCTGTTTCTACTAAAAATATAAAAAATTAGCCGGGCATGGTGGTGGGCGCCTGTAGTCCCAGCTACTAGGGAAGCTGAGGCAGGAGAATGGCATGAACCCGGGAGGCAGAGCTTGCAGTGTGAGCCGAGATCGCGCCACTGCACTCCGGCCTGGGCGACAAAGCAAGACTCCGACTCAAAATAAATAAATAAATAAATAATAAAAATAAAAAAATAATAATAATAAAAAAGAAATTTATAAGACAAGTAGTCACAAAATGATGTACTATTATTTATTAACATTAAAATGTCCATGACATATTAATTGTATATGTGTGTGGCAAGAACTTCTCCCCCTCATCTTTAGTGAATAACTCTTGCCCAAAAGCCCTATAAATGTTTAGGATTCCAAGACTATGTCCTTAGCTTTCCATTTGTAAAACATTACAACTCCACTGAATAACCTCAACTATTTCTGTGATATTGTACATACACCATGACAACTCTAAAAACCTGACACTCATTGTAGACTTTTCCCTTTCATACCAATTAAGAAGACCTAACAATTCAACCTCCTATAAGACTCAAGTCAATCTTCCTCTTCTCCAACAACCCCATTTGTCATCAACTACAGCAATACCTTCCAAACATTCAGTGCCTTCATTCTCACTGAATAGTAAGGAACTAATCTGATCATATGATATCTTTGATTAAAATCTTTCAATAGGGAAAAAAGTGGTCATGCTGAGATTGTGATTCTTGGGTGTTAGTAATCAACATCTTGTTCCTTGATCTGGGTGCCCTACGTTTTCATCAAGATGTCTACTTATTGATAATGTGCACTTCTTTGTACATACATTTCAAATAAAACATTTTTTAAAGTGGTGGTAATCCTCTATGATTATACTAAAAACTGCTAAATTGTATACTGTAAATGGTGAACTGTGTGGTTTGTGAGTTATATCTCAATATAGCTGTTATACAAAAAATTTAAAAATAAGGCCGGTACGGTGGCTCACGCCTATAATCCCAGCACTTTGGGAGGCCGAGGTAGGTGGATAACCAGAGGTCCAGAGTTCAAAAATAAATACAGTAATTGAAAAAAAAAAAAAAACTTTTCAATGGCTCTGCATCCTTTAGAGCCTATTATATTTCCCAAACACTTGCAAAAATGCGTTCCTATTCCCAGTTGGCAAAGAAGAGTTCATCTGCCATCCATGGGTTGGGTACTAACAACAGTCTTCAAAATTTACCCCTAGTCATCAAAAAGCCCACCACAGCAACAACAAAAAAATTCTTTGAACTTTTTGTTACCCAAAATTCGCAGGCAAATATCACATTTAATTACCCAATATATATTATTTAACATAAAATGACCTTCCCCAAACCTCAAATTATAAATAGAGACACCAAAGAGATGTACACCTTGGTATACCACCCAGTACTCCAGTGTGAAAAACACAGGCTTACAAAGATCTCCAGTATCTGGTCTCTGTTTTACAGGCCCAGCTTCATCCCCTGTTGTTCCTTTCCCTACTCCTATCTATAGAGCAGCTTATACTATATTAATTGTATCCCATCCATCATGTGCCAACATTTTACACAGGTTTTAAAATTTTTTTCCCTGCTTGTGTTGTAAATCTTCACAACAATCTACGTGCTCCCACATTTTGAATTTAATCTGTTGGGTAAAAGCCTTCTTTGTGAAGCCTTCTCTGGGGTAACTCCTACCCCTCAAGAAGCTAAAGAAGCCCTTCTTTGTGCCACATTATATAATTACGTTACACAAAATGTCCCTCATGGTGCTATAATTTTTTTATAATACAAAGGTCAATAATTCTTACTAAACCAGTGACTGCCAAACCTAGTTACCTATCAGAATCACTGAGATACATTTTTATTCATTTTTGTATCCTCAATGCCCACCATACTGCTGGAAACATGTAAGCCCTCAATGCAAAAGGACTCAGGCTTTTAATGAAATGGAAATCTACTCTGACTATATGCCAGTCAAGTTCTGCATATAAGCTTGCATAAATTTACCCAAATTAATTTCATTTTCTACCCTTCTACAGGAAAGCACTAATTCTGCAGTTGTATGCAATCTTATACTTTCTACATAATGTTTTATTTATTAAATCATATTTATTTCTCTTTATAATCTAAAGGTTAAAAATATTCTTTGTGTCATCTAAAGTTTCTGGGTTATCTTCCCACTCTAAATTATTAATTTTAATCTCATGTGATAGTATACTTGTTGCCAGTGTACTGACATTTGCTTAATATAAGTGGTCAACTGTTTGAGCAGATATGCTTAAATTTTTTTTTTTTTATTTTTCTTGGAGAAAGAGTCTCGCTCTGCCGCTCAAGTTGGACTGCAATGGCGCAATCTCAGCTCACTGCTGCAACCTCCGCCTCCTGGGTTCAAGCGATTCTCCTGCCTCAGCCTCCAGAGTAGCTGGGACTACAGGTGCGTGCCACCAAACCCAGCTAATTTCTTATATTTTTAGTAGAGACGGGGTTTCACCGTGTTAGCCAGGATGGTCTCAATCTCCTGACCTTGTGATCCACCCGACTTGGCCTCCCAAAGTGCTGGGATTACAGGTATGAGCCACCGTGCCTGGCCATACACTTAAATTTCATTACTATAATTAGTTTACAAAACCAGTATTTTTTTTGTTTTTGCTTTTGTTTTTGAGACAGGGTCTCACTCTGTCGCCCAGGCTGCAATGCAGTGGTGCAATCGCTGCTCACTACAGCCTTGACCTCCGGGGCTCAGGTGATCCTCCCACCTCAGCCTCCCAAGTAGCTGGGACTACAGGTGCACACCACCACACCCAGCTATTTCTTCTATTTTTCATAAAGATGAGGTTTCCCTATGTTGCCCAGGCTGGTCTTAAACTCCTGGGCTCAAGCAATCTGCCCACCTCAGCTTCCCAAAGTGCTAGGATTACAGGCATAAGCCACTGTCTGGTCCAATATGTTCTTTACATTCAGAATTAAAACATCTTACCCTTTCTTCTGTTTCTGCCTTTGACTTCTTTATGCTCTTTAGGCTTTGTCTTTTTTTCTTCTCCAGATTCTCCGTCACTCACAGTCAATTTGTGCCGCAAAAGCCTATGTCTGTATCTTGGCTTCTTAGATTCTTCAGAATCTGAATCTGATTCAGAATTGACTTGATTTTTTGCTTCTAAATGAAGGAAATAAATCAATAAAACCTTCTTCAGCCTTTAAAATGCCTCGTATATCTATTTTGCCTGTTGACAACTACTGCAACTTATGAAAAAAATCAGAGTTAGACACATACTTTGGTATCATTGGTGTTATCAGGTAATCTCACACATCAGACTTGACATATTACTATTATTAAATATTGACTAAATATCACCTATATATTTATAGAACCCTTTGTAAGGTATAAAATATTTTGCTTTGAAAATCATCTGTTTAGGGCCGGGTGCAGTGGCTCACACCTGTAATCCCAGCTCTTTGGGAGGCCGAGGTGGGCAGATCACCTGAGTTCGGGAGTTCAAGACCAGCCTGATCAACATGGAGAAACCCCGTCTCTACTAAAAATACAAAATTAGCAGGGTGTGGTGGCGCATGCCTATAATTCCAGCTACTCGGGAGGCTGAGGCAGGAGAATCGCTTGAACCCGGGAGGCAGAGGTTGCAGTGAGCCAAAATTGCGCTATTGCACCCCTGCCTGGGCAACAAGAGCAAAACTCTGTCTCAAAAAAAAAAAAAAAATCATCTGTTTATTGGCAGTAACTGACAAAATTAGAGTAACTTCCATAATTATTACAAGATATTCAAGAGAAGTCATGGTAATAAAGTTTTAAACATTTCCATGAACTCTAAATACAAGTATTAAGAGATTTTTTTTCTTCTTCTTCTTCTTCTTCTTTTTGAGATGGAGTCTCGCTTTGTCACCCAGGCTGGAGTGCAGCAGCGTGATCTCGGCTCACTGCAACCTCTGCCTCCCAGGTTCAAGTGATTCTCCTGCCTCAGCCTCCTGAGTAGCTGGGACTACAGGCACGCACTATCACGCCCAGCTACTTTTAGTAGAGACAGGGTTTCACCATGTTGGTCAGGCTGGTCTCAAACTCTTAACCTCAAGTGATCCACCTGCTTCGGCCTCCCAAAGTCCTGAGATTATAGGCGTGAGCCACCACGCCGGGCCATATTAAGATATTTCTTGGTCAGATATTCTTCAAAGACTGAATTAGTCAAGGAATCAAATTATGACATTATAAACTTCTCTCTGGGGAGCTCACCCTCATCTCCTGGGTTTTCTTCATTTTGTTTTCCAGTTCTTTTTTTCCCTTCTTCTGGCTCATCATCTGAAGATCCATCCTCATCAGAGGAAAGATTGGCTTTAATTTCTTCTAAAAGCATCTTCTTGGCAATTCTTGAGAGTAAAAAACAATAAAAAAAGAACTATATATCTGGGGGTGAAATACACCAAATTAAAAATAAAAACAGACTTCTTTGAATCAAAATAGAAATAAATGTGCCAATAGATTTTATATTGTAAATAAACAACTAGCAAAACCATGTTTTAACCTAAGCTATAAACAAAAACTTTTAAAAATGTTCTTTACACTTATTATTTCTCAATTCTATACAATTCTGCAATATATTGAAAACTCTGAAGGACATATTCTATTGACTATTTTTACCAATTGCAATTTGATGCTGCATAACCTTCCAATCCTCTATTTGCTTTGCTGACACCATCCTACAACTACAAAGTCAGACAGGTCAACAACAGTAAATGAACTTGTTCAGATAAATGGCATTCCAAGATAAAACTCCACGAGAGGTTTTATTCAACAGCAAAATATATTCTTGGAAAACCAATGTGTAATAAACCACTATATAATGACACCTTGCTTCAAACTAGAGGATGATAGTTTTGGACCTTAATTTCAATGTACTACATAAATGCTGTGAACCAGATGAAAGCATACACAAATGTTAAGTATTACAGCAATAAATAATCTCTAATAATATTCAAGACAGGGGAAAGAAGGGACATGAGTGCTATTAATTACATACATGGTAAAAAGAACACGAATTACCATAAATGGGTTACTTTAAAAAAAATAGTGCAGTTGCTTCACTCACAACAAAATTTCTCAAGATGCTCCTCAAAGACCAATTTGCTAATGGAAAAATCAATTACTAAAAGCATAAGAAAACACTACTTTTACTCCTACCATCATATGTTAAAATAAAATATATTCCTAGGAAATCTCCATGTTTATACTCAAGAAAAATAACTGAAAATGTAAGATTAAAGCAATCATACAGCTTTTGTGCAAGACAAGATGTTTTGATAAGTCTGGGTATCCTTTCAATATAAATTCACAAATCACGGTAACAAGAAAATAGCTTATAGAAAAGTTCAAAAAGAAGATGGCATGATCCTGACAGTCTGCCATGAGCTAATCTGTATGGGATAAACATGTTCTCTGCAATCAAGACTGACTCTCTAAGTCAAAAACTTGTAGCTGAGATGATGGAACATTTGTTATTTCTGGATTTGAAACCCCTCTTTACACTTCTTAGCACGCACCCACATTTCAATGAAGAATTCATTCAATGGCAGGAGATATTAATGCATGTTAGCTGCCTCCTAAATTTTATTTGACAGATTGTTCATTACTATTCATATTCAAAGATGCATAGCAAAGGCATCTAAATAGACTGAAGCAAAATAGGCAATCACTTCCATAAATGTTTATTATATGCCTTTTGGTGCTTTCTCCCTCAAACAGATGGATCAGGAATATTTAGACAACACACAGAATCATCAATTGCTAAAGGAAGCCACAGATGGGTTTGCTTTTCTGAGGATTTCTGCCCTGATTTGTATTTCAATAAAGTGAAGATTAGATCACACCAATTTAAATCTTACTAAAGTTGAGCTATAAAGTTTTGCTCTTACATTTCTAGATCAATGGTTTGCACACTGTAAGCTTTCTTAAAATGGGACAAATACAGGGTTGCCAACTTTTCATTTTGCCAAAAAAAGAAATTTAAACCCAAATTCCATTTACTTTCATCATTTATAAAATAAAGACTATTTACAACATACCCTCCCCAAATTAGGAAACAGTTTCAGAATAAAGGGAAACCCTTTAAATTGAAGATATACATCTTTCTGGAAAAATTCTCTAAAATCATCTTTTTAAAAAAAATTTCAGCCAGGTGTGGTGGCTCATGCCTGTAATCCCTGCACTTTGGAAAGCAGAGGCAGGCAGATCACCTGAGGTCAGGTGTACGAGACTAGCCTGGCCAACATGGCGAAACCCTGTCTCTACTAAAAGTACGAAAATTAGCTGGGTGTGGTGGCGCATGCCTGTAATCCCAGCTACTCAGGAGGCTGAGGCAGGAGAATTGCTTGAACCCGGGAGGCGGAGGTTGCAGTGAGCTGAGATCATGCCATTGCACTCCAACCTGAGCAACAAAACTCTGTCTCAAAAGAAAAAAAAAATTCATGTATGTTTATTATAATGTTGTCTGCAATAGCAAAGGGTGAGAAAACGTTTAAACATTCAATATCAGAAACTGATTAAATAGTATTTTCACATGATTATCCATAAGAGATAGAAATTAAAATGATATTCTAAATAAGATTAAGATAGAAAATATTTATTAATATTCAGTGAAAAAGTAATTTATAAACCACAATATAGTTCTATTTAAAAAAAAAAAACTTCTAAAATTTGTATGTCCCTAAAAAAGACTAGAAGATACTAAAATAAAATGTTAGCAGCAAATTTCTATGTCTGGCACAGCACTTTTTTTTTCTGTTGGTATATATTAAAACCATCTTTAGTAATACTACACTGTCATTTCTCATGGACCAGAAAAACTTCCTCAAACTAATCTGAATAATGAATTTTGGGACGAATAAATATGTGTGTGTGTGTGTGTGTGTGTGTGTGTGTGTGTGTGTGTGTGTGTATAAAATATGTGAAGCATTGAATACTGGATTAGAAATGGAAAAACACAGTTTACTTGCAAGTACAAGATCTCATACCATCATTTGGGTTGAACACTAAACAGCCAACAAAAATACAATTCCTAATCTAGTTACTTGAAAGCCTAGTTCAACAACCTGATTTCAGTTTGTGTTTACAAGTTCAAAAAAAGTCTTTAAAAAATTCCTATTAACTATAAAGATTTGGTTGTTAATTGTAGGAAATCACACAATTTTTCTTCTTTCAAATCCCAGTCTCCAAAGAATATGTCTACTAAAAAACGGAAAGTCACAATACATAAACCTACTTAATGCATTCTCAAGTTCTGGATTGTCATTAGACTAAGAAATATGATGTACATGAGATAAAATACAATTGTATACCTATTAATAAATCATATAAAGTGAAATCAGATCCACATACTGTAGAAGTACAACTTAGCGACAACTTTCAGTAAGATCATAACATATAGAACAATCATAGTACATTCAGAAGCCAAAAAATTACAAACTTCAGGTCATTTTTCTCCAAATCACAAATTATATACAGAGTGATGGAGACTACCTGGCTAAAGGTTTTATTTTTGCCCTCTAACACCTTTTGTCCAAAGGAAAACCTAATTTATAGCTATGTAAATTAAGCCCTAAAAAGAATAAGTTGAATCATTTTGCATAAGTTATTACTGAAGTCCAATATGTCAAAGACCCAGTCTACCATAAACCTAGCCTATAACATAATAACCTACATTTCAAAATTAGAACTTAATTTAACGGACCTAAGGGCTGAGGCTGACCTTCAACCTGAGTAGCCAGCAAGCATGTTGAAGTGAGATGTGTCCCATCTACAAAGCCTGCTGTGAGATGCTTTAAAGGGAAACTCCACTACCTTAACTCTGGAGTCACGGGCCACAGAGACTTCAAGGATATCATCACTTGAGAACCAGCTGAGGCTGGCAAAGCATCATTTTGGAGGCCTCGGCTGGACCCATGCTGGATCATGCTGGATGTATAGTCATGATCCCTAGTTGATTCTGTTTGCTCTGAAGTTTCCTTTCTTGAGGCTTTCCAGGACGATGTACTGCCCCTGGAATCTCAATGCTCAATATTACATCTTGGGGCAGGTGTAGCATCCAAAGCAGTCACGACTCTATCAGAAGCATTAGAGGCACAGGCCGTGCCACTCTTGTGGCAGAAAACCTGGGCAGAGCCAGAAGTAATGGAGCCACTCCTCCATTTTCCTGAAAGGGAGGGAAGGGAGAGGGGGAGAAAGCAAAACAATATGGGAGGAAGGGTAAAAACCCACAAACAAACAATGATCGGAACTGGCGCATGAGAAAATAAATAGGACCCCAAAACCCACATATACTAAGTCTTCCAAAGTACATAATGAACACCAAGATAACACCATTACTAAAAGAAAGCACAAATAAAATAATAAGAAGTGAGCCCAACAACACAATGACAAACAAGCAATCGGGGAAAAAAAAAAAAAAACATAGGAGAAAGCCAAGAAAGCCTTTATTAACTCCAATCCTATCTAGAAAGGAAATGAGTAATGTCGCTTGTTTAAACGCTCAAACAGGAAAGGAAAGTAAACCACCTCTTGCTGATAGGTAAATCAATAATTCGAAATGTTGAGTTTCTTAAAATGCAATCAAGAGAAGGACCTCCTGCACCAGGGAGCTTTCGAGCCATTAACAAAAGCAATACAAAATGTTAGAGCCAGAAGGACAAACCTCAGAGTACAGCTTTGTCATTCTACAGATGAGGAAACAGGCTTAGATATAGGAAATGACTCAGCCAAAGAAACAAAGCTAACTAGTGGCAAAGTCAGGAGTAGAACCTAAGATCCTAAATCCCAATCTGCTATTAATTTTACTGTGCCAGCACTATACCCTCTACTTGTTAATACTTGTATGCTAATGAGTGCCTGGGCAAATACAGATGATGCCTTTTTTTTTTTTTTCCAGACAAAGTCTTGTTCTGTCACCCAGGCTGAAGTGCAGTAGCACAATCTCAACCTGGAGTGAGGGAGGCTCACTGCAACCTCTGCTTCCCAGGTTCAAGCAATTCTCCTGCCTCAGCCTCCCGAGTACGTAGGACTACAGGTGTGTGCCACCACACCCAGCTAATTGTTGTAGTTTTATTAGAAACAGGCTTTCACCATGTTGACCAGGATGGTCTCAAACTCCTGACCTCAGGTGATCCATCCACCTCAGCCTCCCAAAGTGCTGGGATTACAGGCATGAGCCACCGCGCTGACCCCCATTTTTAAAAATAAGTGTATTTCGCATATTTTAAATTTATGTATTTAGAAATGCAAGAACTCAAGCTTTAATTTTTTTTTTAATTTTATTTTAGAGACAGTCTTGCTCTGTTGCCCAGGCTAGAATGTAGTGGCACAAACACATATCCTTGTAACCTTGAACTCCCGGGCTAAAGCAATCATTCTGCCTCGGTATCCTGAGTAGCTGGAACTACAGGCATGTACCACCATGCCCGGCTAATTTTTTCTTTTTAGTAGAGACAAGGTATCACTACGTTGCCCAGGCTGGTCTTAAACTCCTGGCCTCAAGTGATCCTCCCACCTCAGCCTCCCAAAGCATTGGGATTGCAAGTGTGAGCCACTGCAACCAGCTTGAGTTTTTAAAGATGATAAAAGGAGTTTTAAACATATTTAATCCAGTATGCACTCTAAAATGCACGATAGGTCATCTGAGATACATTCTACAATGACCATTTTATCTTTTAAGAGGTTCTGAGAACAGGTTTGAAGAAAATTGCTGGAAAAAAATATATTTTTAGAAGGCCAAAATACTGGGCATCCATAAACAAGGTGATAAAATTTGCTTAAAAATTGGTTTTTGTGTACAATATCATAATAGAGTACTTAATTTACAGAATTATAAATAAGATAATGGGTTTAAATGCATGCTCTTTAGAGGTACCTAAGTATATGTAGTACTAAAGCATCACACCATATTTTAAAGTTTGATATATAAAATAATTCAAAGGAGTATAGCCAAGGAATGTTAAATATTTTAGTAGGGTGTGAGGCTTTGTTTTAATAAATGTCATATATTTAAAGGATAGGAATTAAAAAACAAAACATGTGGCCGGGCACGATGGCTCACGCCTGTAATCCCAGCAATTTGGGAGGCCAAGGCAGGCAAATAACCTGAGGTCAGGAGTTTGAGACCAGCCTGGCCAACATTGCAAAACCCCATCTCTACTAAAAATACAAAAATTAGCCGGGCATGGTGGCAGGCACCTGTAGTCCCAGCTACTTGGGAGGCTGAGGCAAGTGAATCACCTGTACCCAGGAGGCGGAGGTTGCAGTGAGCGGAGATCATGCCACTGCACTCCAGCCTGGGTGACAACGCGAGACTCTGTCTCAAAAAAAAAAAAAAAGTTATGGAATATGGAATTCTTCAAAATTCATATTAGTATATATTTCAACTCAGGTTCAAAATTAGTATCTTAAGTTTTCTATTAAAAAATATGACTGGCCAGGCACGGTGGCTCATGCCTGTAATCCCAGCACTTTGGGAGGCTGAGGCGGGTGGATCACTTGAGGTCAGGAGTTCGAGAGCAGCCTGGCCAACATGGTGAAATCTCATCTCTACTAAAAATTCAAAAATTAGCCAGGTGTGCTGGCGGGTGCCTGTAATCTCAGCTACTCAGGAGGCTGAGGCAGGAGAATTGCTTGAAACAGGGAAGTGGAGGCTGCAGTGAGCCGAGATCATGCCTCTGCACTCCAGCCTGGGTGACAGAGTGAGACTCTGTCTCAAAAAAAAAAAAAAAAAAAAATATATATATATATATATATATATATATAAAACTAAGGCATAATGATCTGTACCCCAAAATGGTGGAATTCACGAGATAATAATGAAGTCACCAAATAATCAAAAAGCTAAACAATGGTTTGAAATATTTTTTTTTAGTCGCAAATCCTACAATGTGGGTAGTTAATGAAAAGTAGCTCTGTATCCTTTTTGGTGAGGGTACCAGGAAAATTAATATCAAATGACTTTTTAAAAAAATCTTGGAGGTAGAACAATAAAAACTATGAAATTAAGAACCCACAGTTATTAATAATTCATACAGACTTATGTTTCAATAGGCCTGAATTATTACATGTGTATTCCCTAATTTTATACAAAAATCTAAACCAGTTTTAGAGGCATTTTAACAAGAAAAAATATATTCAAATTAATATGGGAAATTTGATCATATTAAATAACTAGTTCAATATTTTTATACTTGAAAAATGAAAACACAGAATTTACTCATCTCAAATTTCAAAATTTTATTTTGAAATTTCAAAGTTAAAGACAAAGGATATTAAGTCAGAAAAATGAATCACTTTTCCTAACACTAGAAATCCAAACTCTTCCTTTTTCTCTTTTTCTTTTTTTTCTTTTTTGAGGAAGACCTATTTCTTATTTTCTGAAAGTCCCAATATCACCAAAGAACAGAGAACAAGAAAGAAACACTGGTTATAATGTTTAAATCTTGACCATAGAAGGACAAAGGTCACCACTACACATCATATGTCTTTCCTGACTGGGAATTCTAGTAGAAAAAAGAAAGCCAGTAACAACTACAGCCAGTTCAGATATCTACAAGTAGATCCTATCTACTGGCTGGACACCTGTGTTATACTTAAATGACTTGCAATACTTACCTGTGCTATACAGACAAAGGAAATTGAAAAAAAAATTACCGTAAAATTGCTAGATATTTAAAACCCTTACTCAAATGGAAAAACAAGTAAAATACTTAATTTAAAACGCCACCTTTGTTTTTCAAGTACAATAAAGGAGAATCAAAGCAGTTTTGCTAACGAAACAGAACTACCACAAAAAAAAAATCACAGAAAAAAATTATTCCAAATTTAGCAAATTTGCATAGAGAATAGACAACATGTGTAGGAGACAGACATTTGAAAAAGTGTTTAAAATGAAAGCAAAGTGAACATCAAACGATTAAGGGACTTGTGATACATCCATGCCATTAATTGTGCTGAAATCAGGTAAACAATCATTAAATATCTTCTTAGGCATAAATAACATCCAGAAATCATTAGTTTCCTCCGAAAATATGCTGGATTAACAATACAGAGCCGTCATCAACAGCATACCCACACCAAGCCAGTAGGAAAAAAAAAAATCATTAGCATATTTTCTAGTTTGAAACACAAAATTATCATCAAATGATACAACAACAGTTGGAAATTTAAAATGCTATGGTCTAGTCCCAATATAATTAAATATAACAATGGGACAATTTTTTTTAGCAATCTCCACATCAAATTTCGCTTCTATGAAAAAAAAAGCATTTAGTCGCACCCACAGAGAAATTATGAGAAAAAATGTGGAGTATTACTAGACCCAATTAAGCACATTTCAACAATAAAGTAAATGTGTTTGTTAGGGGAGCAGACATCCATGTAGAAATCTCAGCTCTTAGTCAAAGTTGTCAGGGAGAAAGAATGCTTATTTAGAAAAACCTAGCACTTTGGTCTTTTGCTCTCAAAAGCTCAATTGTAAATATTTCTCACATCCTGCAAAATAAGCGAATAAAGAAATTTCAAAAGATAATTCTTTTTTGGGATAAATGGTCTCTTCAGTGATTGTTCAGTATGCAATCTCTAAAGACAAGCCTAGTTTAATGATCCTCAAAACTAATACTGTTAAAACTTGAACACACTACTATCGTATTACTTGAGGCTCATTCCCAGTACAGATATTAAATTAAAATATATGATATTATTAGAAAATGTTTGGTCAAAATATCCCCAGTTATATTGAACATATAAAGGAATTATGGTGTATTTTCAATGCCAGGCTAATTATTGAATTGAAATAAATTATATGAATAGATGTCTTTTCAGAGAAAGAACCAATTTAAAATCCAACTAACAGGTATTTGAAAGGCCAATGAAACCCTACCCTAATGGCACTTTCAAGTATATTACTTTAAAATTACGTGTATAAATGTGAAAACCTGACAACCTATTTGGTATTATTATTCTGCCATTGAGAAACTACATAAAGCCTAAGCTCTAAATTTTCAGTTATATAAAATTCAAAATATATGATTAGTCTACTTTTTTTTATAAAAAGCTAAACCAGAAACATACAAGTGTTGATCAATCTATAATATTCTGTCCTTGTTCATTAAGTAAATCCAATTAAATAGAAATTAATTTATAGGTTAGACCACTGTCTCATAATATTATACATTTACTTTCAAATATGAGTGACGCTACATAATAGCATGCTAAAACAGAAATGTATTCACATTTACTAAAATATTCAGGATATGACTAAGTTTTTTAAATGCCCCCAAAAGCCATCATAGCTTTAAAACAGAAAAAGTAAATAGTAGTTAAATCTGTTGTAAAACTTTCACACAAATATATATAAGTATATATGTTAGGGGAATTAAAAGTATTTACGTCCTAAATTTCAAAATTTCAAAACTTCTTTGGCTACAAACTAGCCTCTATATTTTAATAACAAATTATGTCAACTCTCATGATATAAAAAAGTAACATTATTATTAAAATTAAATGCTTGAACAAGAAAAAAGGTTTACAAAAATTTATTGCATCCAAATAGTTAACCATTTGCAATAATACACTATCGCTTCATAAACACCAACACTGAAAATGTATTACAATACTGCTAAAAAGACAAAGCATATAAGATTTATACACAATTTACACACAATTGTGTACAAATTTACATACAATTACAATATGCTGTCTACCAAAATACAACCTACTCAAAAATTAGGAAGTTAGAAAAATAATTCTAAGACTTAATCGTGATCTGCAAATGAATTTTTTAAGTTGCTTAGTGCATATTCAAATATGCTCAAATATATAATCTATACTAAAATAGTGCAAGAAAGTATTTGTATCCCCATCATGACTACATAACCCATGGGTATTAGATACCTCTTTGGTATAGTGAATATTAAACAAGTTAATAAATTGTATATTTTATAAAAACAAATTAAACTGAGTATAGAAAGACATGCTCAAGATAAAATTCAATTCTTCTCAAAAGTACTCAACAGGGTTGTATTTTTTAATCACAAATTCAAGGTGGAATTAAAGATACTTTCCAATAAAATACTTGCCAGTTACAGAGAGATACGATCAGGTAACTTAAAAGTTGAAAATGATATTTATATTTTGACAAGCTCTAACACACACAAAAAAATTATACCTTAACAACACTCTTATTTGGTGGTTAAATATGAAATTAAAGTAAATCATTCACAGTTAAATTAAGATATAGAATGTTTAAAACATTATTAGCCTTTGAGTAACATCTGAGGCCTCATGATGTATAGAAAATCAAATAGCAAATATAAATGAAGAAAAATTAAAGCATCTTAAAAAAGAGTAAAATTTTAAATGCTTTCAGTATCTGGCTGTGATGATATAATGTAAAATCCCTGATGAATAAATTGTATGCCCTTATCACTCCATTCTGGAACCTACCACCTATCCCATAAAATAAATGGATATACATTTTTTAATTTAAAAAAGTAGGCAAGCAGAATCTGAATATTTGTGTCCACAATTAAGCTCTATTCAAAACTGTAAAATAAAACTGTTCATTCACCTTAATAAAAACATTCTTCTGTTAATTAGCAGAATGCTGACCTTTGAAACAGAGAAACCTAACAGCATCAGCAAGATACAAAAGAGCGAAACTAACAGCTGAACCCAGGGCATTTACTAAGTCAGTTAATTTCTTACAAAATTATGACAGAAAATTACATGTATATTTTTATGTTTTCTTAATGTTAGAACTTACTATTAGGAATAAATGAATGGTTAATGTAGTGCTCTTTAATGAAATCATCTCAAATCTATCATGGATTTTTTGGTACTAGAATTACAGAAAATTTCGCCCAACTTTTTCTTCTTAAATATAGTAAATTTTTGACAAAAAGTAAAGTCACTTGCCCATGATGACACAGACAGTTGTTAAAAATGTTAGAAATCAGATACCCTTATGCCCATTATTCCAAAATTCCATGCACTATACCATGCTGTCTTCTTGTTGAAGATTATGAGCATGGGGTATGCTATTGTCCAGGAAGTGTTTAAAAGTTATGTTGAAACATTATAGCTATAGTCTTTAATACTGTTGTTTTCCTTATTCTTCACTACACTGATAGTGTCTTTTTTTTTCTTCACCCAGCCACCCCTTACTTAAGTATATCTGTATAGGCTACACTGTTGACATTTAAACCTATTAAGTCTTATTAAAGTAAATGCTCTCATACCGTGTATTTCTATTTTATTTGAAAACTGGTTAAACTCTAACTCAGTCTAGATACCTTGTAAACTGACACTTATTTTGAAAGCAATTTCTTAATCTTAAATATCTGAGTAATCTCTCTTTTTGTTTCTTCTCAACAGGCCTTAATAAATAGGACCACCATATTGGATGGCAATTAACAATAGTCAAATATAGAGGAGATGTCTGTTGTTACCAATTTACTGAGATATGATTTACTTTCATCAATAATCTGTCAAAATAAATTATTCCAAAAAAATTACTGCAGTTTACATAGCAACATAAAATTGACAGTTCTGTATTTATAACACACCCTATGCTAGGTGTGTAAATAATGATATTACTTTCTCTTAAGGTTTCTGAGTTTTAGCCCATTTTCTGGCCTTTCTTTCAAACTTGCAGGAAGACTGTGAGCGAGTCTTTCTAAGGCAGGCACTCCTGGTTTTTACAACCTGCTTGCTGTTCCGTTGCTGCTGTTTGTGCCCATGCCTAGGGTGTGTTATAATCTTTTTAAAGTCCTTACAGATGGAATCATACCTATTCTCAGGATCATTGTCGTCATCATCATCATCCACTGTGACAGGCACTGATTTAGATAAGGCTTCATCTCCTTGAGGGAAAAAAGTGTACTTAAAATTAGCTTTAAATAAGCTATATAATTAAAACCATGTAAAATAAAACTGAAAGCCAAAAACTTTAAAGCAAACTAAGTGGGGTCTAAACTCTGGACTCCAAAATATGAGTAAAAAGCATTCTTATAGAAAACATAACAGGTTATTTGTGAAGTGCCAGCAGTAAAATGATAAATAGCTGGACCTTATATATTTCAGAGTTCCTTCCCAGGGCACAAGGCTTTTAAAGTCCACCCTTCTCAGTAACAATTCTGTATCAACAGCCATCATATTAGCATAAGTTTCTTGCCACAATAACCTTCGTACTGGTCCATTTTAATTTTGACGTTAACTGGTGCTGTATCTTCGAGGAATAGCAAAAACAGTATTAATATTTTGGTAGTAGCAAGTAATTTTAAAATGCAGTTGAATGTGTATGGTATTTGTGACCTGAGTTACCCAGAGATACAGTTCAGTACAGTAAAACTTATTTTCTTATAAAAAGCTGCATTTCTATATTTTGATTAAAAATCTAAAGAGGGCCGGGTGAGGTGGCGCACGCCTGTAATCCCAGCACTTTGGGAAGCCAAGGCAAGCGGATCACCTGAGGTCAGGAGTTCCAGACCAGCCTGGCCAACATGGCAAAATCCCGTCTCTACTAAAAACACAAAAATTAACCAGCCATGGTGGTGTGTGCCTGTAATCCCAGCTACTAGGGAGGCTGAGGCAGGAGAATCACTTGAACCTGGGAGGCGGAGGTTTCAGTAAGCCAAGATCGCACCACGGCACTCCAGCCTGGGTAACAACTCTCTCAAAAAAAAAAAAAAAATCTAAAGAGGTTAAGATTTGGGCATTTCATTCTATATAAATTTTACTTCAAAAGAAAAACTGAAATATTAAACTGTAGGTTAATACTATGCATGCTTAAGTGTTTCAGGAGAAGTATGCTGATGTCTACCGTTTAATCTGAAATGCATCAAAGATTTTAAGGGTATTATACTAAGTGAAAAAAGCCAATCTCAAAAGGTTATATACTTCATGATTCCATTTCAAAATAGCAAAATTACAGTGATAAAGAACAGATTACTAGTTGCCAGATGTCAGGAATGGAGGTAAGGACAGCAGTATCACAAGGGAGCCTTGTGATAATGGAACTGGTTTGATATATCGGTTGTGGTGGTGATTATACAAAGATACACACGTGGTACAACTGCACTGAACTATACTTATACACACACAAATGAGTGCATGTGAAACTGGTGAAATCTGAATAAATCTTCAGTTTTCTGGTTTTGACACTGTACTAGAGTTACAAGATATTACCCTTGAGGGAAACTAAGTAAAGGTTATCTGAGACCTCCCTGTATTTTTTTTTTTTTTTACAAATTTCTGTGGATTTATAATTATGCAAAATAAAAAGCTAAAAAGGCAAAAAAAAGATATACTGATGGATAGACAGAAGGATATATAGATATGTTATCAAGAAAATACAGTATAATATTAATGGTAGATGCTTTGGTGTATACTTAAATGTTTTTCACAATAAAATGTTGAAGGGAAATGGAGGAAAAAATCTATAAAGGAAACAGACACCTACAGGCTCAGGATAGAAATACACTAAATAAGGCCAGGCGTGGTGGCTCAAGCTTGTAATGCCAGCATTTTGAGAGGCTGAGGCAGGCGGATCACTTGAGGTCAGGAGCTCGAGGCCAGCCTGGCCAACATGGAGAAACCCTGTCTCTACTGAAAATACAAAAATTAGCCAATGTGGTGGCATGCACCTGTAATCTCAGCTACCCAGGAGCCTGAGGCATGAGAATCGCTTGAACCCGGAAGGCAGAGGTTGCAGTGAGCAGGGATTGCAGTGAGCCGAGATTGCACCACTGCACTCCAGCCTGGGTGGCAGAGTGAGACTTCAACTCAAAAAAAAAAAAAAGAGACAGACAGAGAGAGAGAAGAGATTTCATAATATCCCAGCAAACTCACAATAAATATCTCATTCAAACAGACCAATCTTCAAATGAAATATAATTAGTAACAGTACTGTCACTCCCTCTTTACTACACCTTTCAAAATTTGACCTATCCTTTGAAGTTCAAATGCCAACTATTCTTCTAAATATTTCCCCAAATATTTAAGTAGTTCACTTGCCATTTATTGTGTAGCCCCATTATAGTTTGTTGTGTTTGTTGCTGTTTCTGTTTTGAGACGGAGTCTCGCTCTGTCGCCCAGGCTCAAGTGCAGTGGCGCGATCGTGGCTCACTGCAATCTCCATCTCCTGGGTTCAAGCGATTCTCCTGCCTCAGCCTCCCAAGTAGCTGGGATTACAGGTGTGCGCCACTACACCTGGCTAATTTTTTTGTATTTTTAGTAGAGATGGGGTTTCACCATGTTGGCCAGGCTGGTTTTGAACTACTGACCTCAGATAATCCACCCACCTTGGCCTCCCAAAGTGCTGGGATTACAGGCCCCATTCTAGTTTTATATCTTTCTTCTGTTACTTTTTTTAATGATTTCTCTATGTCTGTCTTGCATTAAACTGCAATCTCCTAGGACCATGTTCTTCATCTTGGTTATTCATGCCATTACCAAGCCCCAATTTCTAGGAAAATACTGTAGCTGTAATATGATACCCAAATACTGCGAATAAACTGGAATCCTCTAAACTCAATAGGGGGCAGGGTTTTTCTTTTAACCTTCTAAAACTGTGACCTAAAATTAAGTTAGACAGAGGAGTACATAAATTCAGCATGCTTACATAAGCATGTAAGTAAATTCTGAAGGAATATCATAACACTGGCTCACACGCAAACTTATCTTTAAAAACAGAACTTTTTACAGCGCTTATTTTCAAGGCACTCATATTCTATTCTACTTGTTTCTATTGACAAGGCCCAATTTTTCACAGGTTAAATTCCCTAACAAATTTATCTTCTTTCTTATTTCATCCCAAATAATCAGCTTAGCCCCCAAAAATATCCAGGGTAAAGAAAATCTCAACAAGGCTTATTTCACCAAGCAGTTGAAGGATTGGAATTTGCTGAAGTGACGAATTCTCAAAGTTTCTCTTGATACACACCTGAGAAAAAGTTTACTCCCCATCAGCCTATTTGTCCTTCAGATCAAAGTTAAATAAATCAAAATGGAACACAGTGATCTAGATCAGTGCTGAGATAAGTAATTATCAAGAGATGCATCAATTGAGTATTTGCCATATATCACCATCCCTTCTTAAGGCCTAATGAATTCATATTAATTATTACACTAAATATTAATAATTCTCAACATGAGAGGTGCATAACAGAAACTTTCATAGGTATCAATAAATCAAGTGAGATCTTAAGAAAAGTAGTAAAATACTTGAAATCAAACATACTGATTTCACCAGTGAAACTGTTTAATCACAGAAACCAATTTTCCAAAGTTTAAAAATAGCCAGACTAAGAAAAAAAGAGAGAAGATCCAAATAAATAAAACCAGAAATAAAATTAGCTCAGTGACATATAATTTTTAATGGATTTTAACTAATTTTTAAACACAATTTATTATTCTTAAACTCTAATCCTTAATAAGGATTTTCACAGCTAACCTAACAACTAAAACATTGATTTGACATCAAAGTAAATATTAGATTCTGTATTTTTAATATAAGTCCACAATCCCTTATATATAATTTTGAAATCTAAAACACTCTCAAAATGGAAAGTTTCTGTAAGAGGGTACCAAAGACAATCTGGCAGCAAAACCTGGTCTAAACTGCTTATTCCTTTAAATGTGAATCTTCAAATGTTTTGCTGCAGAAATACTATGTGTTTGATTATCTGGTGCTGCATCAGGCCCCACTGGAGCTTTTATAAAATATATAGTAACTTCTCTCTATTATTTTTCTAAAAACCAAAAAGTTGCAAATTCTGAAACACAACAGACCCCAAGAATTTCAGGTAAGAAACTGTGAACTTGAAGTTACAATAGCCACACAAACAGAGCTCCATCTAGTCATCTGATATAGCAGAGCATTCAATTGAAACACACACACTGCATATCACATGTGGTTTTCAAGTCAAGTCATAAGTACTCCATAAAAGAAATGTAAAGTTTTATTAAAAAACAAGATTTTGCTGGGCACAGTAGCTCATGCCTGTAATTCCAACACTTTGGAAGGCCGAGGTGGAAGGATTGCTTGATGCCAGGAGTTCAAGATCAGCCTGGGTAACATAGCAAGACCTCATCTCTACAAAATTAAAAATTAAAATTTAAAAAATAGCCAAGATTCAAATTAATTCCATTAAAATCCAATTGGGATAAATTGAAAACTGTAACATAAGAACTGGAAGGAAAAATTTTTAAATTCTACCTATGTTGGAAATACAATTTTATGTAAAACCCACTTTATAAACATTTTTAAATAAATTCTGAGTATCCATAGAACTGACAGGTCTTACTGACTAAAAAAAAAGACAAATGACCAATACACATTTATTATACAACTGATTTTTAAAATAACTTCAATAATAAAAACTTATTTTTAAAATTATTTTTCATAAATTTTAAAGATTTTAATTAATTCATAAAAATATTTTCATTCACCAGCTGACCCAAACTTTAATGTTCCTAGTACTCTACCTCATCAGGGTAGGCTAATCCAGCTAATGTTTGGATTTTCTTCCTTCATTTTGACAGTGTTTTTAAAAGAAAAACATCTGTTCATGTCATTAGAAACTAGTTAATAAGCATCAACAAAGGGTTTTAATGAGGTAAATTAAAAATAATTAAAGGGGATTTCATGAGACACAAAGTTATCTGTTCAAACTTAAAAAGCCATATGCATGGCAGTTAAAATTTTGACACACCATGTCATACCAGTACCAAGCACTCACTTCCATTATATAACTAAATAGCTACTGAACCACTGGCACCAGTCCGCTTTTCCTTCTGCTCATTACTCCAGAGAAAAGCACTAAACATTGATAAAGAAATTTTGTCATTTACTCAACAAATTTGAGATCCCTGATACTGAATACTAGCAATGTTCAAAATATCTTCCAATGGCAGCATAAAAATAAATAGGGAAACTTTTTTTAATAAACTCCTAAATAATTTTTAAGTGGTATTCTCCTAAGTAGTAACCCTAAATTTGATTAGCTTCAGAGGAAATTAAACAATGTAGTAACTCAAGAGGGGGAAGTACAAATTATGAATTTTTTATTTATTTTTGCATACCTGAAGATTGGCAAAATCCAGTATGTGAAGACAGCACTAAATTTTCAGTCACAGGCTTAATTTTCTGTTCATCGCTGCTTCCCTCACCTATAGAATTCTGATCATCATCTTCTATATCAGAAGAAGATGAGGATGTAATGTCAGCTTGCTTCCTTTTAGTGCTTGTTCTTAGGGAGTTTCTCTTTTTCTCCTTGACAATGACTGCCTTCTTTTTAGATGAAGTTCTTTGCTTCTTCTTTTTATTATCTTCAGAACTTTCCTCAGCATCAGATGATGATGAGCCACTTTGTATTTCCTTAGTATTTCTCTTTGAACTTAAATTTCTTCTTTCCCTCAATTCTATTCTTTTCAGTCTCTTATCAGAAGAGTTACAACCATCTTCTTTCATGGAATATTTCTCAGTATCAGATGATGAACAATCTTGTCTCTTCCTTGAACTCTTTCCAAGCAACTTGCACCTTTTCTTCTCTCTACCATATGCTCCATTCTTACTCTTTTTATCCTCTGAAGAGTCACAACTATCTCCTTTCCCTGTTGACTTCTCAGCATAATCAGATAATTCATCCTTCTTTTTAGAAGTTTTATCTCTTATTTTTTTACTTTTCTTTTCTCCATCAGTTGTTCCATTCTTAATTTGTTTTATGCCCTTAGGAAAATGACAAATTTCTTCTCGCTCAGGTAACTTTTCAGTGCCATCAGATGAAGATTCATACTGTTGTTCCATTTTAATTACTTTTTTCTTAAAGTCTGAAGGTTTCTTTTTTTCTTCAGTTCCCTTTTTGCTCTGCTTTTTATCATCTTCAGAAGTTTCATCGCTCTGGTCTTTCTTTAGGAATTTCTCTGCAATATCAGATAAGCCATCCTGTACTTTTTTACATGTTTTGGTTTTGAGATGCTTGCTCTTTTCTTTAGTTTCAGCAACTTTTCTAACTTCCAAAGAAGTAAAACTCTCCTCTTTCCCAGAAAGCTTATCGACACCATCAGTGGAAGCACTTGCTTGCTGCTTCTTAGGAAGTCGATCTCTTAATTCCATGATGGTCGTGTCTTTATCAACTGTGCCTTCTGCTGAAGAGAAAGTCTCTCTCTCTTGTTTTCTTTCAGCATCATCAGATGATCCTTCTTGTGAGGTCTTCAAATTTTTGTGCCCTTGATTATCCATTCCTTTTTTGCTGTGTTTCTCATCTTCAGAAGAGTCAAAATCTTTTGTATTTGGAATTCTTTTTTTGGTGGTTCTGGCAGCACCAATTTTACTCATGCTCTTTATCTCTTTTTCTAATTCTGAGTCATAATTAGAAGACTCAGACTGGGTTTGTCGTTTCTTTTTAGAAATTATAGAGCTCTTAGCTGATTTGCCCTTTTTAGTATCAAAATCTGAGCCAGATGTAGAACTTTTTCGTTTCCTTTTTCCTTTATCATCTTTCCCCGCCTGAGTCTTTAAATCATACAAAGTCTTATGGTTTGTATGAATTTCATTAATATCAGTATCTGAAGAAGAACTGTGACTCATCCTGCTCACCTCTTTGAGGATTGCTAGCATTTCATCAGAATCTGAATTTTGATCCACAGTCTCTGATTGCTTAGATTTTGGCAATTTATTAGGCTTAGGATTATCTATAGCACTGTCAGAAGAATTACGCTTATCCTTTTTTCTCACTGGAACTGATAGTTTTTGTTTCTCCTTAACTGTTTCATTACATTCTTCATCTGAATTAGATGTTACAGGGTTAGTTTCTGTCGGTCGCCTCAAGGGTGTAGTCTTTACACGTGGGGATCTTCGAAGATCAGATTCCTCTAAAAGTAATGAAACTTCATTTTCAACCAAATGCTCATTATCACTGTTTTCCTGTCCAAGTCCACATTTCTCTAACTTGGGGTTCAGACCACAACTTTTATAGCCATCTTTATCTTGTGGAACTTCCTGACAATCAGCACCTTTAATTGGGGAATTAGAAAGGGAAACAGGAGTGAGTTTAACATATAATTCTTTTGTTACTTTAGCTGTAGTTTTTGATTTAATACCTCCTCTGTTGTCTTTTGAAGAAATATTTAATTTTACAGATGAACTCTCCACTTCTTGTTCAGTTCCACTGCTGCCATCCCCTTGATGATCAACTGAACTCTGAACTTCCATAGCAGTCTCAAGATTCTCAAAAATGTCTTCTGGAACTGAGGAAGGAACAGACACAATATCCATGTCTAAATCTTCAGAAGTGTTGGCAGGTTCATATTGAGGTTCTTCTTTTCTATCAGATTTCTTATGTTCACCACCGGTACTTTTATTTGTTCTTTGTTCCTCTGTTGGAACATTCTGATGCATGTGCTCACTATCTACCTGTTTTCTTGAAAGTTTAGCTTCTGACTTTGAAATATCCTTCTTTTCCAAAGCACAAGGTTTTTCTCCTTTTCGTGCTTTTGTTTCAAACTTAGCATCTATGACTTTATGCTCTTTGGTATTTTTCTCTTTGTTTACAGCATCCATCGCTCGAAACTCGGAATTTAAGTCTTCTTCCAATGCAAGATGAGCCTTCTTAATATCAGCCAACACAGACTTAAAAGCCTTAAGCTGACGTAATTTTGTAGCAGAACTGATTTCTGAATTATCTGTTGCCTGCTTTAAAAATTTAACATAACTGGAGTTCATGTTGGCTGTGGTCTCAATCAGTTTTTTTGCCTTCTTAATCATCTCTTTGGGCACAATTAGTGCGGAATAAGAGTAGGTTACAGAGCCAGAACAGGAATCATCTAATTTCTTTTCTTCTCCATTACAATTTGAACTAGTCTTCTTTGGAGAAAATCTGGATGTATGTTCATATACTTTATTACTCTTTTCACTGTCAACTTTTATCTTCTTCTTATTTTGCTGCAACAACTGTTCTAAATTCTCAAATACGCTGTTACATGCAGTGACCAAGTCCAACAAAGGCTCTGGGTGACAAATGTAGCAATACCATTGGTTGTTTTCATCCATTATTGTGGACAACTCCTTTCGACCAAGGTTGCGTAGAATGCATTTCTTGCAGAAAGCATTATGGCAAAAGTCACAACAAATCAAGTTTCCACCTTCCGCACACCACCTGAAATGTTTTAAAGATTAAAACATTATTCCCTTCTTTCAGGAAACTGAAAAGATATGTAAAAAAATAAAAATAAACATTATTCCCAACAAAACTCATTTTAATCTCTTTGTTATAATGCAATTTAAATTTTACTGCCAGTAATTTTAGTGGTAATTTAGGTCATCTGCTTACTCTTTATTAGAAACTTAAACTAGACATAAATCCAGGGTTTTATGGAAAAGAACAACCTTTCATTAAAGACATCAATGACGATACTATGAAAGACAAACCTCATAAATGATTATGTAACAATTCCTCCCAAAAGTAGGAAACACTGAATGTTAGCTCATCTATATTACCTACCTACATTGTTCATCCATTCCATCTGAGTCACGGCTAATATCATCACTCATGTAATACTTAAAGCAATTCTATTAAAAGAAAAGAGGAAGGGGAAATTTAATTCGAAATTGATAACATTCATAAAGGACAAAAACTTTATTTTTTTAAGTAATTAAAAACACTGGGGAAAATCTCCAGGACACTGGTGTGGGCAAAGATTTATTGAGCATATTACACAAGCTCAGGCAACCAAAGCAAAAATTGGCAAATGAGATCACATCAAGTTAAAAAGCTTCTGCACAGCAAAGGATACAATCAACAAAATGAAAAGACAACCCACAGAATGGGAGAACATTTTGCAAAGTGCCCATCTGACAATGGATTAATAACCACAATATATAAAGAGCTCCAACAATTCTATAGGAAAAAATCAAATAATCCAATCAAAAAATGGGCAAAAGATTAGACTGGACATTTCTCCAAAGAAGACATACAAATGACAAACAGGCATATGAAAAGCTGCTCACCATCATTGATTATCAGAGAAATGTTAATCAAAACTATAATAAGATATCATCTCACCCCAGTTAAAATGGCTTATATCCAAAAGACAGGCAATAACAAATGCTGGCAAGGATGTGGAGAAAAGGGAACCCTTGTATACTGTTGGTAGGAATGTAAATGAGTACAATCACTATAGAAAACAGTTGGGAGATTCCTCAAAAAAACTAAAAATTGAGATACCGTATGATCCAGCAATCCACCTGCTGAGTATATACACAAAAGAAAGGAAATGAGTATATCAAAGAGATACTGGCACTCCTATGATTGTTGGGCCACTGTTTACAATAGCAAAGATTTGGAAGCAACCTAAGTGCCCATCAACAGATAAGTAAATAAATAAAATGCGGTACATATACACAATGGAGTACTATTCAGCCATAAAAAAGAATGAGATCCTGTCATTTGCAACAACATGGAAGGAACTGGAGATCATTATGTTAAGTGAAATAAGCCAGGCACAGAAAGACAAACACTGCATGTTGTCACTTATAAGTGGGATCTAAAAATCAAAACAATTGAACTCATGGATGAACTAATGAAGGATGTCATGAAGGACAGTTACAAGAAGCTGGGAAAGGTAGTGAGGGGATAGGGAGGAGGTGGGGATGGTTAATGAGTACAAAAAAATACAAAGAATAAGACCTACTATTTAATAGCACAATAGGGTGACTACAGTCAATAGCAACTTAATTGTACATTTTTAAATAACTTAAAGAATGTAATTAGATTGCTTGTAACTCAAAGGATAAATGCTTGAGGGGATGGATACCCCATTTTCCACAATGTGCTTATTTTACATTGCACGCCAGTATTAAAACATCTCATGTATGCCATAAATATATACACCTACCATGAACCCACAAAAATTTTAAAAATACAAACAATTTTTTTTTAAAAAAGGGAGTATGTGTGCATGTTTCAGAGACTCAAAGCAAAAACACTGCACTACTGCAGCCGGGTACAGTGGCTCATGCCTATAATCCCAGCACTCTGGGAGGACGAGGAGGGTGGATCACCTGAGGTCAGGAGTTCAAGACCAGCCTGGCCAACATGGCGAAACCCAGTCTCTACTAAAAATACAAAAATTAGCCGGGCGTGGTGGCAAGCGCCTGTAATCCCAGCTATTCTAAAGGTTGAGGCAGGAGACTCACTTGAACCCTGAGGCGGAGGTTGCAGTGAGCCAAGATCACGCCATTGCACTCCAGCCTGGGCAACAGAGTGACACTCCGCCTCAAAAATAAATAAATAAATAAAATAAACACTGCTACCCACTACCCAATGTCTGTATTTTCCAGACATCTAACTATCTCAAGAATTAATGCCTTGAAACAGATTTCCATACACTCAAGTACCACTATTCCTTATTTAAAAGTGTATAAAAGATTTTTGGCTGGGTGTTTGGTGGCTCATGCCTGTAATCCCAGCACTTTGGGAGGCTGAGATGGGTGGATCACTTGAGGTCAGGAGTTCAAGACCAGCCTGGCCAACAGGGTAAAACCCCGTCTCTACTAAAAATACAAAAATTAGCCAGGTGTGGTAGTGGACACCTGTAATCCCAGCTACTCGAGAGGCTGAGGCAGGAGAATCACTTGACCCAGGAGGTGGACGTTGTCGTGAGCCAAGATCGCGCCACTGTACTCCAGCCTGGGCGACAGAGCAAGACTCCGTCTCAAAAAAAAAAAAAAAAAAAAAAAAAAGTTTACAAAAGATTTTAGTAAAGCTAATTTCTGGTCTCATACATCTAGCTACTAAAGCTCTACATAAAAATGTATTAGATTTGGGTACTTAACAATTTTAATAGCCACCATATACAAACAGCTACTATGTATACAGCTAAACAATTAATCTATATTATCTTTAAATACCAAATACCTACCATGCAAGGTAGGACATATTATGAGAGAAAAGGCTAACTTTCATTAATATGTAAATAAATCTAAAGTCATACAACTAGTAAGAGGCAAAGCTGTTATTCAAATCCAAGTTTGACTGACTTCAAAGTCTTTCCAGTGGGACTGCAGAAAGGGAAAAGGTGCTCACTGATACAAACTACCGATTAGTGAAATGGCCTAGGCTCAACAGACTGGTTCTTGAAAAAAGACAATCACATAGATAAGAAAACAGAAAGGCAAATACATGTCACAAATCCAGCAATATTAGATTCTACTGTCACAATTTAAAATGAAACTCTCTAATACATACCCTAGATAGGCCCCTGGCTGAACTGAATTCAAGGAAAGGAGGGATACAAATTGCTAAAGAACAAAGTACAGTTCATTTAAGCATGTCTGAATCTATCAAAAATTCATGCAAGAAAAGATCTAGAGCTAGAATTCCAAGGAAAACATGGCCTGCCACTGCATTTCAAAGGCAGCTTTTTATTGGGAAACAAACTAACATAGGATTAATCTTAGCAGGAATATGAGTTAAGAAAACCATAACCTTGACATTTATAGGTAGGTAGGTAGTTACTGAGACGAAATTTCCCTCTTGTTGTCCAGGCTGGAGTACAATGGCGCGATCTCGACTCGCTGCAACCTCCACCTCCCGGGTTCAAGCGATTCTCCTGCCTCAGTCTCCCAAGTAGCTGGGATTACAGGGACCCGCCACCATGCCCGGCTAATTTTTTGTATTTTTAGTAGACACGGGGTTTCACCATGTTAGCCAGGCTGGTCTCGAACTCCTGACCTCAGGAGATCCACCTGCCTCAGCATCCCAAAGTGCTAGGATTACAAGCATGAGCCACCATGCCAGGCCCACATTTATAGATATTTAAAATTAACTCCAAGGTATTACTAACAAAAAAGTGGCACAGACTGTTAAAATTATAATCAACACATAAAAAACATTTTTAATTCTATCATCTCCAAGTTATGTCAAAACCCTGCTCCACATAGATAGTTTACATTTGGGGAAGTAGGATATATAAGGGGAAAGATTATAAAACACAAACATTACACACATCCACTCTTGAGATTTTCAAACACACCAAGCTCTCCCTCAACTACCAGTATCTGAATACTATGTTGCCTCTTCCCAGAACATGATGAACCAATCTCACTTACCAGGCTGATTCTTATTCATATTTCACATACAGCTTTCCACTAGAAAGCCATCCAAATCCTATTTACACAGGCTTCCGGTGTGCTCCCATAATCACAGTATCTCCCCTATCATGACACTTAGGCTTTGTACGTCTATTTTCCCCACTATAGTAGAAGTCTTCCAAGGGCAGATACCATTTTCATCTTTCTTCAAGACTGTGCCCTCAAAGGCCTGGTATATGGTAAGCATTCAAATATTTACGGTATGAAATATCAACAGATCATTACATACCTTACAAATAAGAACTTGCAATGAAGGGTGTCTATAAATGGAATCTTTTTGAAAATGATTGACCTGTTGTCCACAAGCAGTGCAGCTCACAATCCCATGAAGCCCATCTTCTAGGAGAAAGGAGTGGCTATTATTCACACATTTATACACAGAAAAAGATACTTACTTTAGTCAGCATTTTGTAACTTTTGTATTAGACATGAAATACCTCATAATCCTTAGAAAAATGGCATATTGGACACAAGTAAAAAAGGTTAATATTTTATCGACTTACTAAGCACATGACAACCTTGGCAAATTCCAAGTTACAAATCCTAATTGTTTCCTTTTACAGATGCAAATGCCATTTTTTACAACTTGAAATAACATTAAGAGAACCCATAAAAAGTTCTAAAACTAGGGGCCAAGAGCTCTTATTTTGTTATTGCTTTGCAAATAAATTCAGTATCAGTCCTTAAAGAATGGGGAAGTAAGTAACATATACGGAACAGATTCTTTTGCAATCCTACACTTAAGTATGCCATAAAGGTTTTTATTCTCATTGGAATTGTCTGCACAGATCCTATCAATATGGTATGTAAAAACTTGGTAATTTTATGATATTACCAATTTCCTTGCTAATATTTACTTCAACACTATACATAAATTGTCATTAAACTGCCTTTTTTCTATGTGTACTCCACTATCCACTCCATATCAATACTGTCTACTATTTCCAAATAAAGACAAACAAGACATTGCAGGTATATCTATTTTGGCAGCAAAACATCAGAACGACTGGGGGAAAAAGGCAGAGTCCCATTCTGTACTGTCTCCTGATAAACAGACTGAAGAAAACCTACAGAAACCTCTCCAGCCTCCCTCTTGTCCCTAGTTCTGCTAAGGCAGTGTTTCACACCCTGAGCTAAACATTAGAGTCATCTGAAGAATCTTTTTAAAAACAGCCATTCCCACCCCTAAACCACTGAATTAAAATCTCTCAGGCATTTTCTTAAAGTTTCAAAGATGATCCTGATGTGCAACCAAGACCTTGATCAAAATAAGATGGTAGATTATAATTCAGAAGTCACTCAAAATGCTTACATTCACAAATAAAAAGGAGACAACTAAAAAACAAATTGGCTCCATCCTTAAATAAAAAACAAAACATCACATATATTTTTCACCCTTTTAATTTTCTCTTTTGGGTTTCTGTTAGGTTTAAGGTCCAAAGCGCCATGGACCCAAATATTATCATGAATATTTTTATTTGTAGAAACTTTAAAAAAATTTTTAAGAGCTAGAGTCTCACTCTGTCACCTAGGCTGGAATGCAATGGTGCAAATTCAGCTCACTGCAGCCTCTACCTCCCAGGCTCAAGCAATCCTCCTACCTCAGCCTCCTGAGTAGCTGGGACTATAGGCATACACCACTACACCCAGCTAATTCTTTTTAAAGACTGGGTCTCACTGTGTTGCCCAGGCTGGTCTCCAACTCCTGGGCTCAAGCAATCTTCTGGCATCAGCCTCCCAAAATGCTGGGATTACAGGTGTGAGCCACCACACCTAGCCAGAAGCTAAAAACGTTAATGTATAAGAACACCATCATACTTTTTTAGAAAAGTAAACTTGAAGGTTTACTATTTATGTTGCTAATATTTTTATTTATTTATTTTTTTAATTTTAAAGATGGGGTCTCAATCCATCACCCAGACTGGAGTACAATGGCACAATTATAAATCACTGTAGCCTCAAACGCCTGAGTTCAAGCAATCCTCCTATCTCAACCTACCTAATAGCAGGCATTACAAGCCTAATGTATTATAATCACATTATTTACAAACACCAGTTTGATCTTGGGTATTCATATATTCTGTATTTGTTTTAACAGAAACAAATACACCACACCATACTTTTTCATTTCAAACAATGATTTCATTCAGATAAACTAACAAGATAAATAAAATGTAGAATCTGAATGTTCATCCAGTGTTAAGTAATACTTACTAAGTATCTTCTATGTGCTTTGGTGCATACATCGCTCAAGAATTAAACAAAACTAGGTAATTCTTTGGAGATTTTCTCCCACATGTGCACAAGGAATCAAATATAAGGATATTCACCACAGCACTAATTAGAAAATTAGAAAATGAAAAATTGGGAATAACTTCCTATGTGGGAAATGAATAGTGGCTTATTGATATAACATAATTCTATAGAGCAGTGAAAAATAAACAAACTAGATGTACATTTACTGACATGAATACAATTCAAAAACAATGTTAAATGAAAAACGTTCCCAAATGATATATACAGCATATTATTTTGTTATACTTTTAAATGAAAAATGTTTTATGAATACATATATAAAAAACATAGAAAAACATGCACACACATGCACATGCATAAAACTTCAATATAATCATTACCTGTGGGGTGGGAAGAAGGGGAAATGGATGAGAGTAGGACTGAACCAATATTTTACTTAAGTGAGATCTGAAGCAAATATGGTAAAATGTTGAAATGTTACTTTATGTACTTGTTGCTGTATACATGTTTAAATTTTTTATTTTTAATTATGAAATATATTTAAAATTGTAACACAGGGTATAAATGGAAAAGAGGCATTTTCATTTCTGAGCTCAATAGATTTTAATGGTTTTAAATAGAACAAAATTATTGTGTCATGTAAAAAAGTTAGGTGTAAAATATACTTTCTAACAATTAAACTGGGAAGAGAATGTCAAAATAGGGTATGATACTGAAAATTTTTTAAAAAATCAGCTCCTGAAATGTTAACTTTAACCGTATCTTTGTGTTATAATATTATTCCAAATCAATATAAGACTTTATATATTGTCTTACATTCTTGTAATGTCTTACATTTCTTGTAATACAAGAAAGTTTACATTCTTGACAGTTTCCTAAGTTAGGCTTCAATTTGGAACCAGCTTTCTTAAAAAGTTTAAATATTAACTACACCAATTCAGTATTTCAGATCACCAATTTATCTATATATGTGTATATAAAGTAAACCTAGTGTTAAATTTCCTGTGTGATTTCTGACAGCTTAAAAATGTAACAAATCATTAAGATGAAAATAGATGTGAAAGATTTAAGTGCTACTGATGGCTATAAATGCATGTATTCCCTTAAGCGTGATACCAAAACATTCCTACACAGATCATTCAATAAAATGTTCCTGAAACTTATCAGCTGAGACCAAATGTCAGCAGCATACCAAAGTGGCACTAGGAATACCCTCGTCAACAACAGTGGTTCTTTTATTCTTTCAGCCCTTATCCACATTTCAGACACTGACTGCTACAGGGTCCCTTCCCAAAAATAACACCATTTAGACACTCTGTACACTAAGTGTACACAATGCAGAACACTTAGTTATTTGTCTTCTCTAGAGAACCTATGATCAGAGGAAAGAAACTCTTACTACTGATCTTTACCATCACTTTATAATTGAGGATTCTCTTAAATTTTAAGACTACTACCTTAGCTTTAATGAGCTCTGTTGCTGCAATGGCAGTTTCCCTACCATGAACTAGATTCTCAGAAAGATTCCTTATGCTCAAAAGGAGTTGACTACCCCTTTGTGGACAAAAGACTATATAATATTTCCTTTATTTTTGCCAACAACCTTACAAATTATTTAATCGGAAAATGAATATATAAAATATGTTATAAAAATAGATATATTTTACTGGTTCCAGCAAGATAATCATAGCATTAAAATAAAAATCCACACAAAATTTCACCAATATAAGAACTTCACTATAATTTCACAATTATATAATCTGATCAATATTAAATGGATATGCTTTCACTACACTTCTACTTAGAAATTTAGTGTCATGTTCTATCATTTGGAGATTCATTCCTTTTATAGTTATGAATTCTGGCTTTATTAAGCTGCCCCAAAATATATATAGGCACCATTTAAGAATCACACACAAACAAGTGGGACACATAGTCCACTATTATTTCTAAATGAATCCTTCTGATGCAAACTTTTTATAGATGGTTAGCCAATATTAGAGTGTGTGTGTGTGTGTGTGTGTGTGTGTGTGTGTGTGTGTGTGTGTTTTAATTTTTTTGAGACAGGGTCTCACTCTGTCATCCAGGCTGCAGTGCAGTGGTGCAATCACGGCTCACTGCAGCCTCGATCACCTGGGCTCAAGTGATCCTCCCACCTCAGCCTCCAGAATAGCTAGGACTACAGGCATGCGCCGCTATGTCCAGCTGATATTTTTATTTTTTGTAGATATGGGGTCTCACCATATTGCCCAAGCTGGTCTCGAACTCCAGGACTCAAGTAATTCTCCTGCCTTGGCTTCCTAAAGTGCTGGTATTACAGGTGTGAGCCACCACTCCCCACCGTTTGTGTGTTTAAGGGAAGATAGACAGACAAAGGGAGAGGTGCCTCTGGAAGACAGAGGGAGGGTTATCAGCTCTAGCTCCCTACTCCTTCCTACTTATGTCCATGTTGCCATTCTTAGATTAGTGGATTTGAAACTTCAGTGTACACAAGAACAAACTGGAGTACATTCTTGACCTCATCAACAGAAATTCTAATTTGTGAGGAGTGGAGTCAAGGGACTTGCATTTATAATACCCCAACTAATACTAATGCAGATGTACGTCACTCTATCCAACTCTAAATATATATAAAGTTACCTGTAGGCCACAGACAAGATTTTGCATGAATCTAAAATTATTTTAGGGTTGGGGGGAAAACATAGTATTATGGCATATATGTATTATAGAACATGTGGAAGAAGGAAATGCTACGCTTCTTGAGATAACTTAATAGCCACTGAAGGCAAAGGTGTTTCGATAAATGGTGCTTAACCTTTTCTGCTTCAGAGCTCAGAGAGAAACAGAAGTTATATTTAAGTAGTGCTTTTAATAAACAAAAGGCAGAAAAGTGGAGGTATTTTTAGTAAGCACATCCGATTTTCCAATATGGTCATAAACAGCAATTTAAATTCATGTTTCATTTTCACTTGTATTTACCTCCGCGTTTTTTGAGATTTTCAGTTTTCATTTTACTTCTGCTTCTAAATTCAGGCCCTTTAAAATCATCTTTGTCTTCATTCAGCACTGGCTCTGGCTGTACAATCACTGTACCTAGAATGATTTCATTTAAAAAACCATTACACATATTAAATGTGCAAGTGAAGTACAAGACTTCAGTTCAGATAAAGCCAACATTGCTGGTACATAGTTTGTTTCTTTCAAGCTTTAGATATTGGTGTAAGGACCTCACAAAAGTAAATAAAACAGGGAAATAGTAAAAGGGCCAGGTGTCAACAGTTTATTTGTTGAAATATAGTTCATAAAAACAGGAAAGGGAGGTATTATGGAGTGATTACAAAACAAATGTGTGAATCAAACAGAAAGCCTCAACCCAGTTCTGAATTTTTATAGTGCCTATCACAAAAGCTGTTATGAATATGAACATCTATGCTAAGTTCCATAAAGAATTCATAAAATATGTGTGGTTCAGAGGGAAAAAATTTTTAAAGACATCCTATTTTCATAATCCAAATCATAAACTCAGAAAGATTTTTAAGGGTAGTTTTATATTGCAAGGGAGGGGTATTGGTGGGGGAAATGAAGTTCATTCTATTACTCCTGTATCTATACTGCAGCATTTCCCAACTGGTATGTCAAAGTTTCACTACTCTGTAAAGTCCTTAAAGAGTTTTAACAGATTAAGATACTTTAGCTGAAGTACCCTAACAATAAATTGTAGAATGAGATCATTTGTTGATCCCTATGTTAATATTTTAGAAAGAATGTCCTTCCTTAACTATAAAACATGTGAATTGAAGAGAGAGGCTGTCAATTTAAGTTTTCATTAGTTCTCTCAAGAGCAAATAAGACAGGCATAGTAAAAAGGGTTTAGGTTTCAATGTTTACCTACATTGCTGGGCTTAGTAACTGGCTATCATTGGCAACAATTAAGGAAAAAAAAGCAGGTAGTCACCAGGGGCTTTCTCTGAAATATGGCTCTATGTTATTCAACAAGCAAATTTTGACAAGTTATAGCATCTAGTTGTTAAATGAGTTTCTGAGTCTCTGAAAGGGTGGGGGGGGGGAGGACACAGATGATTGAGATTTTACAGATTGTAGTAAAATTAAATAATCCCCACCAAAAAAAAGTTATTCACAGCAATCATTGCATGTAGACACTCAGAGAAGCCCCAGCATTTGAAAAGAACTAAAGATTTTAAATTAACAACAACGACAAAAAAAAAAAAAAACTGAATTCTCCCTAGATTTCTTCTAGGGAGAATTGGAAGCAAAGCAGCAGAGTGAAAAGAGCACTCACTAGGCTTTGGATTCAAGCAGACCTGGGTTGAAATCTTAGCTTCTCAATTTAAAGCTGAAAAAGTTCCTTGGGTTCTGAATTTGTTCCTTTATCTCTACAAGCAAAATAATAACTACCTTACAGTGTTGTTTTGAGGATTAAAGGAGTTAATTCTGTAAGAGCCTGGTACTTATACATACTCAATAAATATTACAACAATAATATAAACACCCAAATTTAACCTTATGAAACGGGTCTGTTTTTGTTTTGGTCTGACAGAATTAGGCATAGTTCAGGTTAGTAACATCATATGCTGACTTTCTTCCACAGTACAATTAAAACAAAAGTTTGAATTCCTATTTCTTACATCATAAACACTCCCAGTGACAACCACTGAGAATGTAAAAATCCAAAGTAAGTCACCACCTATGGGACTTAGACTCCCATGTTAGTTGTTTCTGCCCTTGGCCACCAAAACCATTACATAAAATTGTCATAAATGATTTGCAAAACTAAGTAAGCGGTAGGCCCCTATCTCTCTTCTTTCATTAATTTCCTTTCCTCATTTCATTTATCACCTTTTGTAACTTCTAATTTATCCTAGTCAAGGAAAGTCCCATCCCTCCTACCTACTGTATTTTTTAAACTTCCATAATTTGAAAATATGTCATAAAAACATAGACAGGGAACAAGGTTTAATAAGCACTGCTGTAAAAGATCTATGAGAATGAATTTGAAAAATGTGCCAAGAGACTACAACATATTATTTAACAAAGAAAAAAAATCTAAAATTTGACTCTTTGAACCAAGTTCCCTGTCATTCTCATCATCCAATTATATTGCTCTCAGACTTGAGCTATGAAGAGTCCAAGATATTCATTTGGCTATTGTTCCCTATTCTTATTAACAAGGTTTTATGGTTAGAACTTCAACAGTTGAGAGGTATGTGACAAAGTTTTTTAAAAAAGATAACAGCAAGAAATACAACTAAATCTATCTATGATAGTTAACTTCAGCTTTTAGCCTTAGGGAATTTAAGAATGCAATAAGACTAAACTAGACTGTACATGATTTTTAAGTTTTCAGGAACAGTCATTACATTTTTGTATAAAGCAAGCACATTAACATTGACTGAACCAAAACCTAATATATTAAATTTTTAAACCTGCTTACACACTGAAGTATAATTTGGAAACTAAAGCCCCTTGTCTAAAACTCAAAGGAAAGAAAAAAATAGATTTCATTCTTTACAAAACCAACTGAATATTCCAAATTTTTAACTTCAATAACACATATTATCATTGGCATACAAATATATTTCTAGACAACCACTAGGAAAATGCCATGTTTGGTCGTTTGTACATAGTTAACAGTAATCAAGTTCCAATTTTATAAAAATGATGTTTAAAAATTCATTTCAACTTTAACTTCATGAAAAATTAACACACATTACCTTTTGGCAAGCTCTGCATAGTAATATCATTTTCTGAATTTTCATTAGACGCATCTTCATTTACAGTTTCATCATCCAAAGGTTTTTCATCATCTGATTCTACATACTTTGTTACAATTGAAGGTTTCCTATGAAAGAATTAAGTTCATAGAATTATGAATGTTTCTGACAACTGGAACAATACCCAAAGAACATAAATAACATGTTGAGATTGAGCAGTGGGTCTCAACAAGGAAGCACATCAGAATCACCTAGGGAAGCATGTATGTCTATACCATATCACTGAAGATTATGATTCAGTAGGTCTGGAGCAGGACCAAGGCATACGCATTCTGAAAAAGCTACCAGGGAGACCCTGGAGGACACTCTTCTTTAAGAATCACTACTTCAGAGAATAAATTAATATCAAACAAGCTTGGTTTTTAAGAGACATTCCCACTGGTTAGAAACAATGAAAGTCCAATAGACTAAGCGGCAAACTTCTAATAACAATTATACTGCATAGTATATTGGGTACTACATTATGTTAGAAAAGTTTCAGTTTTTATGTATGACTTGAGTTGACAATTTAGCAGAAAAAAGTGTTTTTTACCACTCTTTTTTCTCCTTATAACTTACAACTATGATGACTAACTTCCCATCCTAGACAATTTCATATAACCCAAAAAACCCACTGCCTCATAGGCATTCAACAATTATTTTGTCCTTTTTCAAGGACATATATTGTCTAATGAAATAAACTACATATTGCAAGGGCCACTAATATATAATAAATCCTTAAAAACCCTTTAGAATTCAAAGTTAGAATGAATAATAATTGTTGAAATCAGGTGATAGATACAAAGGGATTCATTATATTATGCTAATCATTTTCAAATATGTATATTTGTATAGAATAGTTAACTCAGAATAGTGGTTGACATGAGTTCAGAAAAAAACATGGTTTTAGAAACAGAAAATAACCTGAAAAAGAAAATAACTTTTTGTCCCTTCAACATCAACCAACCTCTTTGATCGTGACGATCCTGAAGACTTGGATTTTTCTGAAGAGCTAGTTCCCTAGATGTGAGACATAAATATAAAAGTGAATAAAATTCTCGAAACGGCATCCCTACAATTAGCTATTTCCCTATAGCAACTTCAATACAGTGATATAATGAGATGCTATTTATGTGCCTAGAATATTTTTCTAAAAGGAACTTCAAAAACTAATTCTCTACCACATAAGGAACACAGATGCAAAAAAATAAAAATTAAAACTAATTCTCATTTACTGCCAGGTTTCCTTGGCTGAAGATTAAATTTCTCGTTTTTTACATGGTTGCTGTGGCATGCTGCGGGGAATACACTGCTGCAAAATGATCATGGCCCCAGTCAACAAAGACAAAACAAAGATGCAGAAGTAATCAGATCTCAAGAGAAGTAGGGAGTTTCAAGGATCTAAATATGTTTCATTCTTCTCTAAGCTAACATATGGCATGAAGTAACTTCTACAACTTGCTTTGAGATACTAAACTTACCCTCATTTTGCCAGTATAATCAATATATTTTACTGGATTCAGTTTTTTTTTACAGTAGGTCAAAAAATTCCCAAAACCACAGTTGTGGACCTGTGTATCAGGCAAAGGACCTTGTTATGAGTTGCTATAATAATGCTTAGCAGACTCTAGATACCAAGTTTTGAGAGATTTCACAACCATGGAGTTCATGCCCTTAACATCCACCTCAAACACCTTTGGGGCAATATAAAGACAGTTTAATATCTATCTGTTGGAAGTCTTCAGTTGTCTGACTTTAGGTAAACCACTGAAGTGAACCACAACAATAACAGAAACAATGAACACCTGTTCTCAAACTGGAAAACAACGAAACTGAAGTATAATGACAACTGGGTATCAGTAGCCTTCGACACATACATGTGTCCAGAAGCAATCTAAAGACATATGCTCTACTTGGTTAATCGTAACTAACAAATATCTCTAAATAATTATCCTTACCTCTTCCTTGCTGTTTTCCATCATATCAGAGTTACTTCCAGAACCACTGATTTTATCTAAAAAAGAAGAAATAAAGAACATTATTTATCTCTTCGATGCATTATCAAACAGAACATCAATACCTATAACTCCACAAACCCATTCTCACACTATGAAGTCTGGCAGTATTGTTAACATACTACTCACATTAAAATATTCCTAGAAGTGTTCTTTCACTAGAATCACTCTCCTTTTGCATACTAACCCCTCCTTATAAAGCATGAAATCTCTGTAAAGATTACTTTGGTATAAAAACATTTCCTGTTGTAGTTTATAAATATTGCAAGACATTTCCCAGCAGAAGAAAATTTAAACTATTACACTAAAAATAAAAAACATACTACCAATAAAGTATATTTCATTTTACCATAAAATACTGGGAAAATAAGAGCAAACTAAACCAAAATCAAGGAGAAGGAAATAATAAAGATTATGGCAGAAATTCATGAAACTAATGAAATAGGAAATAGAAAAGCAATAGAAAAAAAAAATCAATAAAACCAAAGAGTAGTTCTTTTCCTTTTCCTCCTTTTTTTTTAGAGATAGGGTCTCACTCCATTGTCCATACTGGAGTGCAGAGGTGCTATCATGGTTCACTTTAGCCTCAACCTCCCGGGTTCAGGTGATCCTCCCCTCTAAGCCTCCCAGGTAGCTGGGACTACAGGCGCGCACCACCACACCTGGCTAATTTTTTGTGGAGATGGGGTTTTGTCATGTTGCCCAGCCTGGTCTCTAACTCCTGGGTTCAAGTGGTCTGCCCACCTTGGCCTCCCAAAGTGCTGAGATTGCAGGCGTGAGCCACAGGCACCTGGCCAAAAACTAATTTTTTAAAAAGATGATCAAAGAGGACCTTGGCCATGAAAGTTGGAATCTGCTAGGGATTGTGTAACAACTTACCTGTGGGGGAAGAAAAGATGAACAAACTTTAGGGTAGACTGACCAAGAAAAAAAAGAAACAAGACTCAAGTTACTAGAATCAGAAATGAAAAAGAGGACATTACTACTAATCTTACTGAAATAAACGGATTATAAAGGAATACTATGAACAACTGTGTGCCAAAAAACTAAATAACTTACATGAAATGAACAAATTCCAAAACACAAACTACTAAAACTGACTCAAGAAGAAACAGGTGTGAACAGACCTGTAACAATTGATGAGATTAAATTAGCAATAAAAAAAGCTACCCATAAAGAAAAGGCCCAAATGTTCTCACCACTTAATTATAACAAACATTTAAAAAAGGACTAATACCAATCCTTCACAAACTCTTCTAAAAAACAGAAAAGGAGGCAACATTTCCCAACTCATTTTATGAAAACAGTATTGCCCTGATATAAAAAATATATCACAAATAGAGAAAACTACAGGCAAGTATCACTTATGAATATAGATGCAAAAGTCCACAAAAATATTAGAAAACTTCAAATCAGAAGACAGGCTAGAGACTGGGAGAAAATCTTCACAAAGTACACATCTGATAAAAGACAATTATCCAAACTATACAAAGAATGCTTAAAACTCAACAATAAAACAAACAACATGATTTTAAAGCAAGGAAAAAAAAAGAAATATGTGAACAGACACCTCACCAAAAAAGATATACAGACGCAAATAAGCACATGAAAAAATGCTCAACATGTCATTAGGGAATTGCAAATTAAAACAATATACCCCTGCATGCCTATTAGAATAGCCAAAATCCAGAACACTGACTACATCAAAACTGCTGAGAAGCATATGGAGCAAAAGAAACTATCATTTATTGCTGGTGGGAATGCAAAATGATACAGCCACTCAGGAAAACAGTTCAGCAATTTCTTACAAAACTAAGCATACCATATATAAAGCAGCAATCACACTCCTTGGTATTTATCCAAAGAAGCTGAAAACATACATCCACAAAATAACCTGCATGGAGATATTTATAAATGTCTTTATTTTATGTAAACATCTTCATTTACTTATATAAATATCTTTATAAGCAGCTTTATTCATAACTGCCAAAACTTAGAAGCAACCAAGATGTCCTTTAGAAGATGAATGGATAAACAAACTGTAGTACATCCAGACAATGGAATATTATTCAGCACTAGAAATAAATTAGCTATCAAGCTACAAAGAGACATGGAGGAAACAAATGCAGATTACTATGTGAAAGAAGCCAGTCTGGAAAGGTTACATACATATGATTACAACTATGACAATCTGAAAAAGGCAAAACTATGGAGAAAGTAAAAAGATCAGTGGCTGCCAGTGCTCACAGGGGAGAAAGGGATGAAGAAACAGGCACAGCACAGGAATCTTTTTAGGGCAGTGAAACTATTCTGTATGATACCACAATGGTGAATGCAGGTCATTATATATTTGTCAAAAATCTTTAAAATGTATAACACCAAGAGTGAACCTTAACATAAACTATGCATTTGGGGTAATAATGACATGTCAATGTAGGTTCATCAACGTTATATAACAAATGTACAACTCTCTTACGGAATGCTGATAGTGGGAGATGCTGTGCATGTGTGGAAGCAGGGACATATGGGAACTCACTGTACTTTTTGCTCAATTTTGCTATGAACCTAAAACAGCTCTTTAAAAATATCTTTTTTTTCTGGCCAGGTGTGGTGGCTCACACCTGTAATCCTAGCACTTTGGGAGGCTGAGGTGGGCAGATCACCTGAGGTCAGGAGTTCGAGACCAGCTTGACCAATATGATGAAACCCTGTTGCTACTAAAAATACAAAAATTAGCTGGGCGTGGTGGCATGCACCTGCAATCCTAGCTACTCGGGAGGCTGAGACAGGAAAATCACTTGAATCCAGGAGGTGGAGGCTGCAGTGAGCCGAGATTGTGCCATTGCACTCCAGCCTGGGCAACAAGAGCAAAACTCCGTCTCAAAAAAAAAAAAAAATCTTTTTTCTAATAAATTAAGGAAGAAAGGAAATTTTAAAATCTACAAAAACCCACAGGTAGGTAATATCATACTTAATGGCGACAGACTGAATGCTTTCCGAAACCCTTAAGATCAGGAACAAGGCAAGGAAATCTGCTCTCACCATTTCTATTCAACTTTGCACTACGGATTCTACTCAGAGCATGCATGTTAAAAAAAAAAATTGAAAGTCATCAGTATTTAAAATGAAGGTATGAAACTATTCCTATTAGAGGGCCAGGCGCGGTGGCTGATGCCTGTAATCCCAGCACTTTGGGAGGCTGAGGCGGGTGGATCACCCGAGGTCCGGAGTTCAAGACCAGCCTAGCCAACATGGCAAAACCCCATCTCTACTAAAAGTACAGAAATTTGCCGGGTGTGGTGGCGCATCCCTGTAATCCCAGCTCCTAGGGATGCTGAGGTAGGAAAGTCACTTGAACCCAGGGGGTAGAGGTTGCAGTGAGCTGAGGTCATGCCACTGCACTCCACCCTGGTCAACAAAGCGAGACTCTGTCTCAAAAAAAAATAAAAAATAAAACTATCCTTATTAGAATGTGACATTATCTCATACATAGAAGATCCTAAGGAATCCACTAAAGAATTATTGGAATAGGCTGGGCGCAGTGGCTCACGCCTGTAATCCCAAAACTTTGGGAGGCCGAGGCAGGCGGATCACCAGAGGTCAGGAGTTCAAGACCAGCCTGGCCAACATGGCAAAACCCTGTCTCTACTAAAAATACAAAAATTAGCTGGGCGTGGTGGCAGGTGCCTGTAATCCCAGCTACTCGGTAAGCCGAGGCAAGAGAATTGCTTGAACCTGGGAGGCAGAGGTTGCAGTGAGCCAAGATCGCACCACTGCACCCCAGCCTGGGGAACAGAGCAAGACTATCTCAAAAAATAATAATAATAATAATAAAAGAACTATGGGAATAAAATTAGTTCAGGAAGATTGATGGGTACAAGGACAATAAACAAAAATCAATGTTATGTCTATACACTTGCAATGAATAATCTCAAAATGAAATTAAGAAAAGAATTCCATTTATAACAGAATTAGAAGGAAATAATTTGAAAAAAAAAGAAGTACAAAACATACTCTGAAAATTATAAAACGCTATTGAAAGAAATTAAAGACCTAAATCAATGGAAAAACACTTCATGTTCATGAATTAGAAGATAACATTTTTTTTTTACTAGGGACAGAGTCTCACCCTATTGCCCAGGCTGGAGTGCAGTGGTGCAATTATAGCTCACTGCCGCCTCAAATTCCTGGGCTCAAGTGATCCTCCTGCCTCAGTATCCTGATTAGCTGGCACTACAGGCACATGCCACCATGCCTGGCTGATTTTTAAATGTTTTGTAGAGATGGGTTCTGGCTATGTTTCCCAGGCTGGTCTCAAATTCCTGTCCTCAAGTAATCCTCCCACCTCAGCCTCCCAAAGTGCTGGAATTACAGGCATAAGTCACCGCACCTCGCCAGTGATAAAACATTAAACATCCTTGAGATACAATTTACACACCATATAATTTACCCATTTAAAGTACACAATTCCTTCAGCCACCAGGCCAAGCCATAAGATTTATCATTCTTATGATGCCAGTGTTACAGAATCTTTGGGGTGTCACTTTTCTGGCCAGAAACATCTGCGGCTGGTGGCACCTGTGCCAGAGTTTTGCTCAGGCCTGCTGGGCTTGTCCCGCCTATTTGGCCTGGCCGGCTACACTCGGCTCATGCTACTGGCCTGTGTCCTATGATAGCCAAGGAAGACTGGATGAAGCAGCAAGGGGTATGTGAGCAAGTGTGGGGTCCGGTCACTGCGCAATCAGACATCCTGGCAGCTGCAGCAGGGCACGCAGCTCCAGGTGCCAGCATGGGCATCAGCTCTTTCTCTGTGAGGCTGCAGCTGGACCATGAACACCACAAGCAGCATCCACAGCTGGCACCAGGGAACACGGTGGCACCCAGAAGTTTGGAGACACCAGGAACCGCAGGCAGGGCCCCAAAGAGGGAGTCACAGCCCTGGCTTGGGGAGCTCCCAGGTCTGGGCTCCCCAGAGGGCTGCAGCTCTTCTTTCCTTCTCTTCACCTGCAACAAGGTGAGCAAGGGGCATGTCTCAGCCCTGTTTGTGTTACAGCTATTTTAGCCTCATCTGGCAGGTCCCAAGTTCTTGTCCTGCACCCAAGAAGAATGAGGTGCATAGAAAAGTGGAGAGTAAGCAAGATAAAGAGGGGCTTTATTGAGCAATAGAACAGCTCAGAGGAAACCCAAAGGGGGCAGCTCCTTTCCACAGTCAAGGTATCCCAACAAGTGTTCAGCTCCTAGCAGAGAGGGTGGTTCTTCTCTGCTAGGCAAGTCATTACTACAAGTGTTCAGCTCCTAGCAGAGAGGGTGGTTCTTCTCTGCTAGGCAAGTCGTTACTACAAGTGTTCAGCTATCAGCAGAGAGGGTAGCTCCTCTCAGCAGCTGATTATCCCGTCATCTGCACAGCTCTCAGGAGAGAGGAGGCCTGAGAGTGGGTGGCTTCTCTTTGCAGGCAGGTCATCCCATCATCTCCCCATCATCTCTCCTTCGTCTCTGCAGCTCTCAGTAGAGAGGAGGCCCTAGTATGAGTAGTACCTCTCTGCAGGAAAGTCGACCCATCGTCTCTGCAGCTCTCAGCAAAGAGGAGGCCCTAGAATGTGTGGCACCTCTTTGCAGGAAGGTCATCTTGTCACCTCTGCAGCTCACAGCAGAGAGGAGGCCCTAGAGTGGGTTGCTCCTCTCTGCAGCTGGTCATCCTGACATCTGTTCAGCTCTGGCTGAGCCTGGGGTTTTTATGGGCCTCAGAGGGGAGGATGTGCATGCCAATTGGTCCACAGGCAGGCCCAGAAAAGGCACCACAAGTTCCCACTCTGATCCATGCAACTGGCAGCCCAACCTCCAGCCTTCAGGCTTTCCCTGGCCTGAAGGTGGGTCCTCACCAGGGACCTGCCACCTTCCACTGAGGAACCTGTCTACCTCCTGCTGCCATTCATGGTGCCCAGGCTGTAGATGCAAGGGGGCACCTGCAGGCCAGTGCTGAACTGCCCTCAGCCCTGCCTCAGCTTCCCTATGTTTGTCAGTACCCAAAGTCCAGAGGGGGTCAAGGCAGCAGAAGGCTGGCATGTCAGCAGTTCCCCAAGCATGTGGATACCTGGCCAGGCTACGACAGCACCCAGGCTCGGCCCCAACTTTGCCACAAGATCAGAGCAGGTGCCAATAGCAGGGTGAAGCCAGGCAGCAGGAGCAGGCACTCCCAAGCCTATGAGAGCAAGGGGGGCCTTCCCAGGCCCCAAGAGTGCAGAGACACCTGGGTCTGCAGCCCCCCCATGATTTGGGTGGCTGCAGCTGCACCCAGTGGGGCAGGGCTCCTGCCTGCCCCATAAAGCAGGAGGCCCAGGTCTATACCCACAATTTGGGCAGCTATAGCTGTGCCCAGGAGGGTGGGACTCCAGCCTGCTCCATAAAGCAGGAGGACCAGATCTGCAGCCATGGTTTGGGTGGCTGCGGCTGCACCCGGGGCTCCTGCTGCACCCAGGGCTCCTGCCTGCTCGTGGAGCAGAAGGCAAGGTTCTGTAGCCGCAGTTTGGGAGACTGCAGCTGCACCCGGGAGGGTGGGTCTCCTGCCTGCTCCATGGAATGAGAGGCCTGGGACTGCAGCCACGGTTTGGCCAGCTGCAGTTGCACCTGGGAGGGTGGGGCTCCAGCCTGCTCCCAAGACTCAAGAGCACAGGGATGCCCAGGTCTACAGCCATGCTTAGGCAGCTGCAGCAGGACCCAGGGAGCTCCAACTTGGAAGGGGCAGGGCTCCTGCTTGCCCCTGGCTCCCACCAACTCTATAGACCGTGCAGCCCTGGCCACGTCTCCCTGCTGCAGCCAGTGTGATGGCAGCAGCCACTCCAGACGGCCCACCGCTGCCATCACCAATACTCCACAAACTAATCTACAGACACGCTGCAATCTCTGTCAGAATCCCAGCTGACTTCTTTGTAAAAATTGACAAGCTCATTCCAAAATTCATATGGACCAGGCATGGTGGCTCAGACCTATAATCCCAGCACTTTGGGAGGCCAAGGTGGAAGGATCACTTGAGGACAGAAGTTTAAGAACAGCCTCAGAAACATAGTGAAACCTCATCTCTACCAAGAAAAAACAAAGAGTTAAAATTCATAGGGAATTGAAAACATTCAGAATAGGCAGATAATTTTGAAAAATGAAAAGTATGAAGACTCACACTTCCTAATTTTGCCAGTACTGCACAGACTTGATTGCCAGTTTTGCAAAACTACACAACAACTTTGGTGCAACTTTGCACAAAACTGTAAAACAATGCAATCAAGACCGTGGAGTACTGGTAAAAGGACAAACAGAATTAAGAGTCCAGAAATAAACCCATATATCTATGACCAGCTGATTTTTTTTTTAATTTTTTTTTTGGAGACAGGATCTCACTCTGTCACCCAGGCTAGGGTGCAGTGGTACAATCATGGCTCACTGCAGCCTCAGTCTCCTGGGCTCAAGTGATCCTTCTGCCTCAGCCTCCTAAGTAGCTGGGACTACAGGCACACACCACTACGCCTGGCTTTTTTTTTTTTTAATAGAGATGGAGTCTCACTGTGTTGTCCAGGCTGGTCTGGAACTCCTGGGCCCGAGTACCCCTCCCACCTCGGCCTCCCAAAGTGCTGGGATTACAGACATGAGCCACCATGCCCAACAGTCCCACTGATTTCTGACAAGGGTGGCAAGACCATTCAATGAAGAAAGAATTGTCTTTCAATAAATGGTGCTGAGACAACTGGTTAGAAACCTACAAAAAATGAAGCTGGACCCCTACTTCGCAACATATACAAAACATTAACTCAAAGTAGATCAAAGACCTAAATTTAAGAACTAAATCTATAAAACTTTTAGAAGAAAACATGGGGGTAAATCTTCATTACCTTCAATTTGGTAATGGATTCTTAAAGACACCAAAAGAATGAGCAACAAAAGGAAAAACAGATAAATAAAAGTTCATCAAAATTAGTAACTTGTGCTTCAATTAAAGACAACCCAACTGGGTGCAGTGTCTCACGCCTGTAATCCCAGCTACTTGTGAGGCCAAGGTGGATCGCCTGAGGCCAGGAGTTCAAGCTCAGCCTGGGCTACATGGTAAGACCTCATCTCTAAAAAATAAAAAAAAAAAAATACTAGCCAGACATGGTGGCACACAACTATAGTCTCATCTACTTGGGAGGCTGAGATGGAAGGATTGCTTGTACCCAGGAGTTCAAGGCTGCAGTGAACTATGATCTTGCCACTGCACCCCAGCCTGAGCAACAGAGCAAAACCCTGTCTCTAAAAATAAATAAAGACAACTCAAAGAATAGGGGAAAATATTTCCAAATTATATATCTTATCCAAGTGTCCATTGAAATATGAATAGATAAACAAAATGTGGTATATACATACAATGGAATGGTATTCAGACTTCAAAAGAAATGAAATTTTGAGATATACTACAACATGGATAACCTTCAACACATTGTGCTAAGTAAAATATGTCAGAAGGACAAATATTGTAGGATTATACGTATATGAAGTTCCTAGAGTAGTCAAATTCCTAGGAAGAGAATGTAGAATGGTGTTTGCAAGGCTAAGGAGAGGGAAGATTGGGGAGTTAGTATGTGATGGGTACAGAGTTTCACTTGGGGAAGATGAAAAAGTACTAGACATGGATGGTGGTGGTGAATGCACAACAATTTTACTTAACGTTACAGGACTGTACATTTAAAATTAGTTAAAATGGCAATTTTTATGTTATGCATATTTTACAATAAAAAATTTAGAATATATAAAGAATTCTTACAAATCAACAATGAAAGCATAAATACCCATTTTAAAAATGGGCAAAGGGGCTGGGCACGGTGGCTCACGCCTGTAATCCCAGCACTTTGGGAGGCCGAGGCGGGTGAATTGCTTAAGCACAAGAGTTCAAGACCAGCTTGGTCAACAAATTAAGACCCCATCTCTATAAAAAATAAACAAAAATTAGCTGGGCACTGTGGCACACACCCATAGTCTTAGCTACTCGGGAGGCTGAGGTGGGAAGATCATTTGAGCCAGGGAGGTTGAGGGTGCTGTGAGCTGAGATCATGCCACTGCACTCCAGCCTGGGAAACAGAGCAGGACCCTGTCAAAAAGAAAAAGACTGGACAGAGGGTTTGAATAGAAGTTTCTCCAAGGAATATATACAAACTACAAATAAGCACATGAAATGATGTTCAACATCATTACCCTTCAGGCAGTTGAAAACTAAAATCACAATGAGATACTACTTCACATGCACTAGAATGGCTAGAATCAAAAAGTCTGTTATTAACAATGGTTGGCATGGACGTGAAGAACTCACAATCTTTATATACTCCTGGTGGAAAAGTAAAATAGTATCTCTACTTTGGAAAACAGTTTGACATTTCCTCAAACAATTTAACATAGTTACCATATAAATCCAGCAATTAGATTCCTAGGTATATACACAAGATAAACAAAAATATATGGCTACACACAAAAAACTGTACACCAATATTTACAGCCGCATTATTCCTAACAGCCAAAACATGGGAACAAGACAAATGTCCATCAATGGATAAATGGATAAACAAATATGGTATACACATATAATGGAATATTATGTGGCCATAAAAAGGAATGGAGTACTAAGACATGTTACAACAGATATCTTGAATACATTACGCTAAATGAAAGAAATCAGCCACAAAAACACGTATTATATGATGCCATTCATATGAAAGTCCAAAATAGGGAAATAGGCCAGGCGCAGTGGCTCACGCCTGCAATCCCAGGACTTTGGGAACCTGAGGTGGGCAGATGACTTGAGGCCAGGAGTTTGAGACCAGCCCGGCCAACATGGCAAAACCCTGTCTCTACTAAAAAATACAAAAATTAGCCAGGTGTGGTGGCGCACGCCTATAATCCCAGCTACTTGGGAGGCCAAGGCACAAAAATCATTTGAACCTGGGAGGCAGAGGTTGCAGTAAGCCAAAATAGCCACTGCACTCCAGCCTGGGCAACAGAACGAGACTCTGTCTCAAAAAAAAAATAAAAATAAAAATAAAAATAAAAAACTCAAAACAAGAAACTAGATTAGTGATTTCTTAGAGCTAGGGGGTGATAGCTAAAGGGTATGGAGTTTCTTTTTGAGGTGATAAAAATATTTTAAAATTGATGGTGGTGATGGTTGTACATATGTGTAAATATTCAATATACTAAAAACCACTGAATTTTATACTTTAAATGGGTTAATTGTATGGCATGTAAATTATATTTCAATAAAGATGTTTAATGTTTTATTACCAGCCAGATGCAGTGGCTGATGCCTGTAATCTAAATACTTTGGGAGGCCATGGTGGGAAGATCGCTTGAGGCCAGGAGTCTGAGACCAGCATGGGCAACAGAGCCAGACCCCGTCTCTACAGAACATTAAAAAATTAGCTGGGTATGGTGGCATGTGCCTGTAGTCTTGGCTACTCGACAGGCTGAGGCAGTCTCAGCTACTCGAGAGGCTGAGGCAGGAGGATCACTTGAGCCTAGGAGTTTGAGGCTGCAGTGAGCTATAATTGCACCACTGCACTCCAGCCTGGGCAACAGAGCAATATCCTGTTTCTATTTAAAAAGAATTTATTACTCATTAAGTAAATGCAAATTAAAACCACAATGAGATACCATAAATATCAAATGGCTAAAATTTAAAAATAGTATTAACACCCAGTGTTGGCAAGGATGTGGAGAAACTGGATCACTCATACATTGCTGTGGGAATATAAAACAGTACAACCACTCTGGATAACAGTTCAGGAGTTTCTTTTAAAAAAATGAACATGTAAGAGTAGACAAGATAACTATTAGGTACTGGGCTTAATACCTAAGTGATGAAATAATCTAAACAATAAACCCCAGTGATGCTACCTTACCTATGTGACAAACCTTCACAGGTACCACTGAACCTAAAAGTTAAAATAAATAAATAAATAAATACCAATAAATAAATAAAAGCACTGATAGAGTCCAATGGAGTAAAAAAAAAAAAAAAATGCAAACCAGGTGCAGTGATTCATGTCTGTAATCCAAGGGCCTCCAGAGGACAAGGCAGGAGGATTACCTGAGGTCAGGAGTTCATAACAAGCCTGGCCAACACAGTGAGGCTCTGTCTCTACCCAAAATAAAATAAAATGTAAATGTAGTTTAATTAATTTAATAAAAATAAATGTGTAACCATCATATGAACTGCAAAATGCACTCCTGGCATTTATTGCAAAGAAATGAAAACATAAATTCATATAAAAACGTATATATAAATATTCACCACCAGCTTTAATTGTAACAACTGAAATCAGGAATCGGCCCAGATTTGCTTTAACAAATAAATGGTTAAACAAACTGTGGTACAGGCCAGGCGCGGTGGCTCACACCTGTAATCCCAGCACTTTGGGAGGCCGAGGTGGGTGGATCACCTGAGGTCAGGAGTTCGAGACCAGCCTGGCCAACATGGTGAAACCTCGTCTCTACTATAAATACAAAAATTAGCCGGGTGTGGTGGCGCTTGCCTGTAATCCCAGCTACTCCGGAGGCTGAAGCAGGAGAATCACTTGAACCTGGGAGGCGGAGGTTGCAGTGAGTCAAGATCATGCCACTGCCCTCTAGCCTGGGTGACAAAACAAGACTCCATTTCAATAAAAAAAAAAAAAAAACAATACAAATACAACTGTGGTACAGGTTGCGTATTCCTTATCCAAAATGCATGGGACCAGAAGTGTTTCAAATTTTGGATTTTTTCAGATTCTAGCATATTTGCACTATTCTGGTTTATTCACATTAGGGATTCAGCATCCCTAATCTGAAAATCCCAAATGTTCCAATGAGCATTTCCTTTGAGTGTCATGTCAGCACTCAAAAGTTTCCGATCTTGGAACATTTCAGATTTCTGATTCTGGGGTTAAGGATACTCAATCTGTACATCCATACCATGGAATATTACCCTGCAATTAAAAGGAAAGGATTGTTGATACATACAACAACCTCAATGAATCTCCACAGAATTATGCCAAGTGAAAACACTCCAACCCCAAAAGATTATTTACTATAAACTCCATTTATTTAACATATTTGAAATGACAAAATTTTCAAAATGGAAGACAGATTAGTGGTTGCCAGGTGTTAAGCATAGGCAGAGGTAGGCGGAGGGAAGTGGGTGTGATTATAAAATGCCAAGATGAGGAATCCTGTGTTGATGAACTATTCTGTATCTCAACTGTGGTGGTAGATGCATGAATCAACCCAGGTAAAAAAAAAATGTATAGAACTTTAACACACACACACACACACACACACACACACAAAGTAAAACTGACAAAATCTTGATTAATAGATTTTATCAATGTCAATTTCCTGGTTGTGATATTGTATTCTAGTTTTATATGTTACCATTGAGGGAAACTGCCAAAGTGCATAAGAGCTCTCTCTATATTAGTTATTACAACTGCATGTGAATTTATAATTACAAATAGAAATCAAATAGAAATTTAAGCTTAAAAAAATTCTCAGCAAACTAGGAATAGAGGGGAACTTCCTCAACTTGATAAAGGGCATTTACAAGAAACCTATAAAGCAAACATCCTTCACTGTGAAAGACTGAATGTTTTCCCACTAAAATTGGTAACACTAAGAGGATGTCTGCTATCATCATCATTCTTCAATGTAATACTGGAAAATACAGAAAATCCTAGCTAATATAATGAAGCAAGAAAAGAAATTAAAAGGTATACAGATGGAAAGGAAAAAATAAAACTATCCCTATTTGCAGGTGATATAACTGTCTAAGTAGAAAATCCCAAAGAATCTACAAGAGGGGGAAAAATACTATTTAGAACTAATAAGTACGTTAAGCAAGTTCACAGGATACAAGGCCAACATAAAAAGTCAACTGGGCTGGGTGTGGTGGCTCACGCCTGTAATCCCAGCACTTTGGGAAGCCGAGGCAGGCAGATAACCTGAAGTCATGAGTTCAAGACCAGCCTGGCCAACATGGTGAAACACTGCCTCTACTAAAAATACAAAAATTAGCTGGGCGTGGTGGCAGGTGCCTGTAATCCCAGCTATTCAGAAAGCTGAGGCACAAGAATCACTTGAACCCGGGAGGTGGAAGTTGCTGTGAGCTGAGATGGCATCACTGCACACCAGCCTAGGCAACAGAAAAAGAACCTGTCTCAAAAAAAACCAACCAACCAAACAAACAGATAGTTAACTTACTTGAAATGAAACTCCAAACCCTTTCCACCCTGTAGTACCAAACAACTCAAAGCTTTTGTTCTGTTCTTTTAGTCCTAACCAGGCTGGTTGGAATCTGGAGTGCACTTAGGCAACAGGACCAGAGCTATTGGGAGAGTTTTCGTGCAATCTGGTTTTCCCATTCTGTGGCTCTTTTCTAGATGGGATCTCTCTACTCATGTTACAGCTGCTGTGGTCTCCCTAAATTTTTTCCTTGATTTCACATCCAATAAGACTGTAGATTTTTATCCAAGTCTTAAAGGCCACAGATGGAGCTAAGAGGATCCTTGGCTGAAGCAAAAAGGATTAACAATGGGGAATTCAGCCATTGCCACTTCTTCTTCCATGTGTTGACTCCCCTCCAGTTTATCTACTTTGTTGATATCTAGCCTTCAGTATGCTGCCCAGAATTTACAATTGGTATTTGTGAGTGACATCTGTTTGTCCAACTGGAGATACCACTACTGAAGGAGTTCCTCAACTAGTGAACACAGGACTCCGACAACGTAACATCATTCTAAAGACAAAAAGAACTTTAAAGAAATACTGAACTATAGTTACGTTTCTTTAATGCGATGATATGGTTAACAACTCTGAAACTGTGGGTACAATGAGGACTAGAAAAATGAATACAAATAAACTGGGGAAAGGCCGGGCTTGGTGGCTCACGCCTGTAATCAGAGCACTTTGGGAGGCTGAGGCAGGTGGATCACCTAAGGTCAGGAGTTCCAGACCAGCCTGCCATCCAGAGATGGCAAAACGCCGTCTCCACTAAAAATACAAAAATTAGCTGGGCACGGTGGTGTGCACCTGTAGTTCCAGCTACTTAAGAGGCTGAGACAGGAGAATCGCTTGAACCCAGGAGGCGGAGGTTGCAGTGAGCTGAGATGGCGCCACTGCACTCCAGCCTGTGTGACACAGCGAGACTCCATCTCAAAAAAATAAAAATAAAAATAAATAAATAAACTGGGGATAGGCTGGGCACAGTGGCTCACACTTGTAATCCCAGCACTTTGGGAGGTCGAGGCAGGCGGATCATGAAGTCAAGAGATCAAGACCATCCTGGCCAACATGGTGAAACCCTGTCTCTACTAAAAATACAAAAATTAGCTGGGTATGGTGGCGCATGACTGTAGTCTCAGCTACTTGGTAGGCTGAGGCAGGAGAATCGCTTGAACCTGGGAGGCAAAGGTTGCAGTGATCTGAGATCACGCCACTGAACTCCAGCCTGGCAACAGAGTGAGACTCCATCTCAAAAAGAATAAATAAATAAAAATAAATAAATTGGGGATAATAGGAACCAGGTTTCTTTCTGTTGGAGAAAGAAGTTAAAAACATGAAAAGGGGAAGTCTAGAAAGAAGACTGGAATTGAATTAAAAGTATCAGTATCAACTCATGAAAATATAAAACATATTATTGGCTTTCTCTGTGAAAGAGCTTGGAAACAAAGACATCTTGGTGGCAATGAGCACATCACACACCCTGATCTTGATTTCTAAACACTATATCCCACTAAAAGGAATCAGAACTCTTGCAAAAAATAACTGATTGTAGGGCTGGGGAACAGAGAATGGAAAGCAAGCCTTGAATACTTTGAAGGGACAGAAAGAAAGTGTTCAAGAAATGATGCGGATTTGTAAAAAGGTCAGCAGGAGCCATCCAGGTGAGGCTCCTACTAGCCAAAACTGATACAATTTCAGGATCAAAATAAATAATGACAGAGAATATTCATGGAAAAAATTGTAAGTATATACTGATACAAATAATTGAATAGGTTAGAACATGAACCCCTCCCTTACAATAAAATATCAACTAATAAACATAGAAGGAAAGACAAGTTAGAACATCACCATTTTGAACCCATCATAGGAATAAATTATTCAGCTAAGAATCACAAATGTATGCTGTGATAAACAGACCTTCTAGGAATGGCCCACAAGATTCTACACCGCAAATCCCCAGAAATTATCAATGTGATGACATATCACTCCCATAACTGTGTTATGTAATATGGCACAGTTGATCTTAAACTCAAGAGATAATCAGGAGGAGATGAGAGGGAGAGGGACCTAATCTAATCACATGAATCCTTAAAAACAGAAAAATGTCTCCAGCTGGTAGCAGGTGGCAGCAGAATTAGCAAGCAAAAAGCTAGGTCAGAGAGCTTCAAAGCTTGAGAGAGACTTGATGTGCTGTTGCTGGATTTGAAGATGGAGGGCATCACGTGAGAAGAAATGAAGACACCTGAAAAGAACTAGGAGGGGGTCTTGGCCAATAGTGAGTGAGAAAGAAGGACCTCTAACCGATTATCATAAAGAACTGAATTCTGCCAACAACCTGAATGAGCTTAGGAATGGATTTTTCTACAGTCTCCAGAAAGGAACCTAGTCCTACTAACATCTTGACTTTGACCTTGTGATAGCCCGAGAAGGGTCCAGCAAGGCCCACCGGACTCCGAACCTACAGAACTGTAAAATAACAAATTTGGGTTGTTTTAAGCTGCAAACTTTGTGGTCATTTGCAAAAGAAAACATATTAAGTTTTGATAATAAAAAGAATACCTTAGTAATCTCAAAGTGCCCCCCATTAAATTAGTTATTAGTTACAATGGAATAAATCATAACTTTAGACTGGGTTTACCTAGCAAACACAACCATAACCAAACAACCTAAGTTAACATCACCAGTAAAGGGGCAAATCACATCATGTGCCATGTAACAGGATGCATGGAGAACAGAACACCACTTTATGTAGTATTCCTGCCAAAAATGTATAACCTGAATCTAACCATAACTAAACAGATAATCCTGAGGGCCATTTCACAAAGTAACACACCTGTACATTTCAAAAAAAGTCATAGTCCCAAAAGGCAGACAAACTGCTTCAGATTTTTAAAAAACCAAAGAAACAGGACTACTAAATCTTGAACTGGATCCTGAATTTAAGGGGGAAAAACTTATCTGTGAACACTACTGGGGTAATTGATGAAATAAGAATAGGGACTGTGGCTTAAATAACTTTATGTTATTTAGTTTACCTACCTATTTAGCTTTCCCATTCTTATTCATTACTTCCTGTATTTTGGTGTTGCCATTTCAAATTATTTTCTTTCTCATTTCAGAAAACTTGTAATTTCCTCTAGTGTAGTTATTCACTCCAGTGTAGGTCTGTTGACATCAAGTTCTCACTTTTTGTTTGCCCAGATATGGCCTTATTCCACCCTTCATTTATGAAGGATGTTTTCACTGAATATACAGTTCTATGCTGGCAATTACAATCACATGCTGCATAAAGACATTTCACTCAATGACTGACCACATATACATCGGTGGTCCCATAAGATTATAATACTGTATTTTTACTGTACCTTTTCTATGTTTCCATGTGTTTAGACACACAAATATTTACCATTGTGTTCCGATTACCTACCGTATTCAGTACAAGAACACGCTGCACAGGTTTGTAGCCTATGAGCAACAGGCTATAACATATAGCCTAGGTGTGTAGTAGCCTATGTAAGGACACTCCATAATGTTTGCACAATGACAAAATCACCCAACAATGCTTTCTCAAAAAAACCTATCCCATAGTTAAGTGATGCATGACTGCACTTTTCTTTGACATTTTAAAGAAATAATTTCATTGTCATCTGCCTTCTATCATTTCTGTTGTTAAGTGAGCTGCCAGTGTTACTGTTATTCCTTTGAAAATAATGTATTTTTTTCCTCTGGCTACTTAAGATATTTTTCTCTCGGTTTATGTTCTTTAGGAGTTTGGTTATGACATGCCTAGCTGTAGTTTTCTTTATATTTATCCTGTTCAGGGTTCACAAAACTTCTTGAATCTCTAGTCTGATGTTTTTCATCACTTTTTAAAAAATGCTCAGCCCGTATCTCTCCAAATAGGACTTTTAACCAAGTCTCTTTATTCCTTCTAGAACTCTAATTACACATATGGTTGAACTTTTCACTATAACTCTCTTATACTTTTTTTGTACATATTGTGTGTGTCTGTGTGCATGTGTATTGTAGTTACCCTTGAAAACCTGAAAATGCTAACTGTCACATGATACAAAATGTTTTTTAAAAAAGGGAACCAGGTACAATGGCTCATGCTTATAATTTCAGCTACTCAGGAGGCTGAGGCAGGAGAATCATTTGAGGCCAGGAAGTCCAAGACCAGTCTGGACAACATAGCAAGACCATGTCTCTAAAAATTTTTTTTTTTTTTTTTTTTTTTTTTTTTTTTTTTGAAATTAACCAGGCATGGTGGCACACACCTGTAATCCCAGCTACCGGGAGGGTGAGGTGAGAAGATTGCTTAAGCCCAAGAAGTCTGAGGCTGCAGTGAGCTATGATTACACCACTACACTCCAGTCTGGGTGACAAAGCAAGACCTCGTCTCTTTAAAAAAAAAAAAAAAAAAAAAAATATATATATATATATATATATATATCTTTTTAAAAGAGAGAGACAGGGAGGTAGAGAGGAGGTGTTAAGTGGTTTTATTTTAAAAAATAAATACACCAAATCTACTCAGGGATATTATCAAACAACATAAAAATTTAACTCTTATGTTGGGTGTGATGGCTCATGCCTGTTATCCTAGCACTTCGGGAGGCCAACGAGGGCAGATCACTTGAGTTCCAGACCAGCTTGGCCAACAGGGTGAAACCCAGTCTCTACTAAAAATACCAAAATTAGCCAAACATGGTGGCAGACGCCTGTGATCCCAGCTACTCAGGAGGCTGAGGCAGCAGAATAGCTTGAGCCCAAGAGGCGGAAGTTGCAGTGAGCCAAGATCATGCCATTGAACTCCAGACTGGGTGACAGAGCGAGACTCCATCACAAAAATAAAAATAAAAATTTAACTCCTAATACATGAATGATTGCTAGGACAAAACATTCCTATACTACTCCTGCCTCTTCTAATACTATTTTTTCACAGTCAACATTCACTAGCCATTCTATAACACATTTCCATTACATATAAAACCATAAATGCTTCCTTTTCTAAGCTTTCTATAGTCATACTTACCAAAATTAAAATCTCCTGTATCAGATATAGCTAAGATACATAATAGGGGCTTCTATAAAGCTTGCTAATCTGTCATTTTCCACAAACTGAAATCTCTTTTAAAAGCTGCTCTCTGAATAAAATAAATGGTTACCTCCATAAGTGTAAAAAAAAAATAGAAAAAAGACTAGAAGGTATAGCACATTCTTTTTCAATTTACCTGTGTTTTGATTCATTGCAAGTCGTGGAGGAGAACTTGTTTCTTCAGATTCTTCTGATGAGTGTGCAAGGAAGTCATGAAGCTTCTGCACCAATGTATTCAACTTGCTTTCACTATTAAAACAAAATTTAAAGAATTCCCTTAATTAGCCTTTCATGTTTTAAATTAATTGTAAAGCTCTAGCAAACTGAAAATATAGCCATACTGTAAGTCGTGTAAGAGTATGCACATTCAAAGTAAAAACTAAGGGAAATGTTACAGTTGTGGGTGTAGAAAGAAAAAATATTAAAGAAAACGAATTTTAGGCCAGGTGTGGTGGCTCATAATAGAGCATGGGTGGCTCATGCCTGTGGTCTCAGCTACTCAGGAGGCTGAGGTGGGAGGATGGCTTGAGCCTTGTGAGGCAGAGGTTGCAGTGAGCCAAGATCATGCCACTGCACTCTAGCCAAGGCAACAGTCAGACCCTGTCTCAAAAAAAAAAAAAAAAAAGAATTCTATTTCACTAAGAATATAAAAATATGAGTAACACAACCTACCTGTACACTTACCTAGGATTAAAATATCATTTAAGGAAACTGCTGATATTACTTACTAAACATTTCGAAAATACTGAGGTCTTTCAATGTACTCTATATGATGTGTTTAAACAGAAGTTAAACTTCATGTTACTTAAAAATGTATCAGAAAATACTACCCTTAAGTTAATTCTTAAGAAACAATAAACCTACCTACCACAAAAGAATTTTAAAAGAAATCAAAAGAAAATTTGGGGGATTAAACAGCAAAAAGGTATTCATATTTAAATTATATCCATTGCTATTTCACAACAAATAGCTGACCCTTGTACTTATCTTGTCATATTATCATTAGGCACCTAAGTTATTATTTCCTCTCACTTATATATAGCTTATATTTGGGAAATCCTTAGAAATCAAAACATAGATGTAGATTATCACTTCAAGAAAGATTTATACTAGCCAACACCCAGAAAAAGAGAGGGCAAGATTTTCCTTTCCATCATTTAAAAAAATAATTCAGTAATTTATCGAATATATTTACTGAACACTTACTCTCTGAAAGCCCTAAGCAGTGTTTTGGTTTATTATTCCATCCTCTGCTTGACATAGAAGAACTGTCTAACTGACTGGCATAAAGATGAACAAAAAATACAACAGGACTTGCAAGAGCTCCATCGCCCAGGGAAATATTTCATTAACTAAGTTTTATAGCATCAACTCTTTTTTTTTTTTTTTTTTTTTAAAAGACGGAGTCTTGCTCTGTCACCCAGGCTGGAGTGCAGTGGCGTGATCTTGGCTCACTGCAAGCTCTGCCTCCCGGGTTCACACCATTCTCCGGCCTCAGCCTCCCAAGTAGCTGGGACTACAGGCGCCCGCCACCACGCCCGGCTAATTTTTTTGTATTTTTAGCAGAGACGAGGTTTCACCGTGTTAGCCAGGATGGTCTCTATCTCCTGACCTCGTGATCCACCCATCTCGGCCTCCCAAAGTGCTGGGATTACAGGCGTGAGCCACTGTGCCCAGCCTATAGCATCAACTCTTAAGTTATATAATAGATGTATCTGTAATTCAACAGGGTTTTAAGGAGTTAAAACTTTAAATAAGGAAAGTATAAGTTTACCCCATTTTTTTTCCTTAGAGTTAGCCTCTTGCTCTGTCACACAGGCTTGAGCACAGTGGCGTGACCTTGACTCACTGAGGTCTCAAAACTCTTGGGCTAAAGCAATCCTCCCGCCTCAGCATCTTGAGTACCTGTGGCACACACCTATGTTCTTAGTTGAGGAAGTGCAGCACACAACTATACTCTTAGCTAAATTTTTTCTTTAATTTTTTGTAGAGATGGGGTCCAGTTATGTTGCCCAGGATGGTCTGAAACTCCTGGCCTCAAGAAATCCTCCACCTCAGCCTCCCAAAGCACTGGGATGACAAGTGTGAGCCACCATGCCCAGCCCCATTTTTAATAAAAGTCAAAACTTTTGCATGTCAAAGGGCACCATCAAGAAAGTGAAAACACAGCAAACACAATGAGAGAAAACGATTTTCAAATCCTGTATCTCATGAGGGTCTGGTAACCAGAATACATAAAGACTTCTTACAATTAAACAACAAAAAGACAACCCTATTTTTTAAATGGGGAAAAGACTTAGATATACACTTCTCAAAAGAATATATACCAATGGCCAATAAGCACATGAAAAAATGCTCAAGATCATTAGTCATATCAGGGAAATGCAAATCAAAACCACAACAAGAAACCAATTTATACTAAGTAGGATGGATATAATAATTTTAAAAACAAATTAAAGACATACATAGGTTCAAAATAAAGGGATGGAGAAACATTTACCAAGCAAATGGAAAGCAAAAAAAACCAGGGGCTGCAATCCTAGTCTCTGATAAAACAGACTTTAAACCAACAAAGATCAAAACAGACAAAGAAGGGTGTTACATAATGGTAAAGGGATCAAAGCAACGAGAAGAGCTAACTATCCTAAATATATATGTACCCAATACGGGAGCACCCAGAACATAAAGCAAGTTCTTAGAGACCTACAAAGAGACTTAGACTCTCACACAATAATAGTGGGAGATTTTAATAACCCACTGTCAATATTAGACAGACCGACAAGACGGAAAATTAACAAGGATATACAACACTTGAACTCAGCTCTGGACCAAGCAGACCTAACAGACATCTACAGAACTCTTGACCCCAAAGCAACAGAATATACATTCTTCTCAGCACCTCATCGTGCTTATTCTAAAACTGACCATATAATTAGAAGTAAAACACTCCTAAGCAAATGAAAAAGAACGGAAATCATAACAGTCTCTCAGACTATAATGCAATCAAATTAGAACTCAGGATTAAGAAACTCATTCAAAACCGCACAACTACATGGAAACTGAACAACCTGCCCCTGAATGACTACTAGGTAAACAAAGAAATTAAGGCAGAAATAAAGAAGTTCTTTGAAACCAATGAGAACAAAGAGACAACATACCAGAATTTCTGGGACAAATTTAAAGCAGTGTGTACAGGGAAATTTATAGCACTAAATGCCCACAAGAGAAAGCAGGAAATATCTAAAGTCAACACCCTAACATCATAATTAAAACAACTAGAGAAGGAAGAGCAAACAACTTCAAAAGCTAGGAGAAGACAAGAAATAACTAAGATCAGAGAAGAACTCAAAGAGATAGAGACAGGAAAAACCCTTCAAACTATCAGTGAATTCAGGAGGTGTTTTTTTGAGAAGATCAACAAAACAGACCACTATCCGGACTAATAAAGAACAAAAGAGAGAAGAATCAAATAGATGCAATAAAAAATGATAAAGGGGATATCACCACTGATCCCACAAAAATACAAACTACCATCAGAGAATACTATAAGCACCTCTATGCAAACAAACTAGAAAATCTAGAGGAAATGGATAAATGCCTGGACACATACACCCTCCGAAGACTAAACAAGGAAGAAGTCGAATCCCTGAATAAACCAATAAAAAGTTCTGAAGTTGAGGCAGTAACTAATAGCCTACCGATCAAAATAAGTCCAGGACCAGACAGATTCAAAGCTGAATTCTACCAGAGGTACAAAGAGGAGCTGGTACCATTCCTTCTGAAACTATTCCAAAAAATAGAAAACGAGGGAATCCTCCCTAACTCATTTTATGAGGCCAGCATCATCCTGATACCAAAACCTGGCAGAGACACAACAAATAAAGAAAATTTCAGGCCAATATCCCTGATGAACATCGATGCAAAAATCCTCAATAAAATACTGGCAAGCCGAATCCAGCAGCACATCAAAAAGCTTATCCACCACGATCAAGTCGGCTTCATCCCTGTGATACACAGCTGGTTCAACATACGCAAATCAATAAACATAATCCATCACATAAACAGAACCAATGACAAAAACCACATGATTATCTCAATAGATGCAGAAAAGGACTTCAATAAAATTCAACACTCCTTCACGCTAAAAACTCTCAATAAACTGGGTACCGATGAAACGTATCTCAAAATAATAAGAGCTATTTATGACAAAACCACAGCCAACATCATACTGAATGGGCAAAAACTGGAAGCATTCCCTTTGAAACCCGGTACAAGACAAGGATGCCCACTCTCACCACTCCTATTCAACACAGTATTGTAAGTTCTGGCCAGGGCATTTAGGCAACAGAAAGAAATAAAGGGTATTCAATCCGGAAAAGAGGAAGTCAAATTCTCTGTCTGCAGATGAAATGATTGCATATTTAGAAAACCCCACCATCTCAGCCCAAAATCTCCTTAAGCTGACAAGCAACTTCAGCGAAGTCTCAGGATACAAAATCAATGTGCAAAAATCACAAGCATTCTTATACAACAATAACAGATAGAGAGCCAAATCATGAGTGAATTCCTATTAACAACTGCTACAAAGACAATAAAATACCTAGGAATACAACTTACAAGGGATGTGAAGGACCTCTTCAAGGAGAACTACAAACCACTGCTCAAGGAAATAAGAGAGGACTCAAATAAATGGAAAAACATTCCATGCTCATGGATAGGAAGAATCAATATCATGAAAATGGCCATACTGCCCAAAGTAATGTATACATTCAATGCTATCCCCATCAAGCTACCACTGACTTTCTTCACAGAATTGGAAAAAAAAGCTACTTTAAATTTCATATGGAACCAAAAAATACCCCACAGGGCCACGACAATCCTAAGCAAACAGAACAAAGCTGGAGGCATCATGCTACCTGACTTCAAACTATACTACAAGGCTACAGTAACCAAAACAGCATGGTACTGGTACCAAAACAGAGATATAGAACAATGGAACAGAACCGAGGCCTCAGAAATAACACCACATATCTACAACCATCTGATCTTTGACAAACCTGACAAAAACAAGCAATGGAGAAAGGACTCCCTATTTAATAAATGGTGTTTGGAAAACTGGCTAGCCATATGCAGAAAACTGAAGCTGGACTCCTTCCTTACACATTATATAAAAATTAACTCAAGATGGATTAAAGACTTAAACATAAGACCTAAAACCATAAAAACCCTAGAAGAAAACCTAGGCAAACCACCATTCAGGACATAGGCATGGGCAAAGACTTCATGACTAAAACACCAAAAGCAATGACAACAAAAGCCAAAATTGACAAATGGGATCTAACTAAACTAAAGACCTTCTGCACAGCAAAAAAAAAATATATATATATATCTCATCAGAGTGAACAGGCAACCTACAGAATGGGAGAACTTTTTTGTGATCTATCCATCTGACAAAGGGCTAATATCCAGAATCTACAAAGAACTTAAACAAATTTACAAGAAAAAAGCAAACAACCCTAACAAAAAGTGGGCAAAGGATATGAACAGACATTTCTCAAAAGAAGACATTTATGTGGCCAACAAACATATGAAAAAAAACTCATCATCACTGGTCATTAGAGAAATGCAAATAAAAACCACAATGAGATACCACCTCACGCCGGTTAGAATGGCGAACATTAAAAAGTCAGGGAACAACACATGCTGGAGAGGATGTGGAGAAATAGGAACAATTTTACACTGTTGATGGGAGGGTAAATTAGTTCAACCATCGTGGCAGACAGTGTGGCGATTCCTCAAGGATCTAGAACTAGAAATACCATTTGACCCAGCCATCCCATTACTGGGTATATACCCAAAGGATTATAAATCATTCTACTATAAAGACACATGCACACATGTTTACTGCAGCACTATTCACAATAGCAAAGACTTGGAACTAACCCAAATGCCCATCAGTGATAGACTGGATAAAGAAAATGTGGCACATATACCCCATGGAATACTATGCAGCCATAAAAAAGGATGCGTTTATGTCCTTTGCAGGGACATGGATGGAGCTGGAAACCATCATTCTCAGCAAACTAACACAAGAACAGAAAACCAAATACTGCATGTTCTCACTCATAAGTGGGAGTTGAACAATGAGAACACATGGACACAGGGAGGGGAACATCACACACTGGGGCCTGTTAGGGGTTGGGGGAGGGATAGCATTAGGAGAAATACGTAATGTAGATGACGGGTTGATGGGTGCAGCAAACCACCATGGCACGTGTATAGATATTTACGCAGAAACAGTTACTCAATGACCCAACAATTCTACTTCTAGATATACACATAAGAAAAATGAAAACATTTACTGAACACTTAGTAAGTGTTCCTCTGCACAATTTTCCTGTATTTAGTTAAGAATAGCTCAGTATATTTAGGGAAGGAAAAGAAATGAGATATAACAGACACCGTAACTAGAGATCTTGTGTGGGTATTTGTTTTCTTTTGGTGGAGAGGGTTGTTTTACAAAATTTTGAAACAAACTTTGCCTCTAGAATAAAGGTACCAAGTGGGTATGGTTTCCATATTTGGCCAATAACCATTCTTTCAGATAAGAGTCAGATGTACAAAAAAATTTATCATCAGGTCACTGTGTCCTTAATCGTGCTCAGATAGAAAATGAGACCTGAGGAAATGATGCTACATGTCAACTCACAGCACCCAAAATTCCTGAGAACCAAAAGTCAAAAAGAGGAATAAATAATGTCATACTATATCTTATCTCATCAATAGATCACCATAGAAAAGTTCTCTAGAAATGAAACGATAGCAAACCTGCACAATTATGACTGCCACACTCATTCCCAAATCATAGCAATCAAATTGCAAAGTCAGCTATTTAATGAGTTCACACTGTGGGTGACCAAGGTTAAAAATATGGATAACATCAGTGCAGTCCATCAACCGCAGTACCACAGTACAAAAATAAAATCAAGAGAGTATGATCAGCAGGCCAGGCACGGTAGCTCACACCTGTAACCCCGGCACTTTGGGAGCTAGACAGGCAGATCACTTGAGGTCAGGAGTTCCAGACCAGCCTGGCCAACATGGTGAAACCCCGTCTCCCCTAGAAACACAAAATTAGCCGGGCCTGGTGGTGCATGCCTGTAATCCCAGCTACTTGGGAGGCTGAGGCAGGAGAATCACTTGAGCCGGGAGGGAGAGACTGCAGTGAGCCAAGATCGCGCCACTGCACTCCGGCCTAGACAACAGAGCAAAACTCCATCTCAAATAAATAAATAAACAAATAAAGAGAATGGACAGAAGTCCAACAGTGGAAAAAAAAGAAAAAAAAACAGATAACTAAACAATGCTGCCTACTCATTTGAAAAAGAAAAAAAAAACTTCACTTTTTTTTTTCCTTTGGAGAGAGGGAGTCTCACTATGTTGACCAAGCTGGTCTTCAAATTCTGGCCTCAAACAACCCTACTGCCTCAGCCTCCCAAACTGCTGGGATTACAGGAGTGAGCTACCGTGCCCAGCCCAAAAATATCTTCACATCCTCAGGATGGGTATGATTTTTGGAAATAGCCAGTTTTCACTTAGAGTCAAATATGGTGAAAAATGCAAAATGATCAAGTTGGGTAAAACTAATTTTTTGCCCAAATCTGAAGTAATCCTGAAGATTTATTTACTTGCATGACTTCTAAACTGGTTACAAAATGAGAGTTCCCAACATATCATCAGGAATGACACCACTGTTATGTATATGGGCTCCCAAAGTGACTACTTAGAAGGAAAGCATACATTTGTGTCTATAAGTTCTGACATTGATTTTAAAAATCTACATCATTTCTAGAGTCATATCATAGAGATGATCCCTGGAAATGTGTATGTCCTATCTTTGGAAATGATGTTTCAAACACACCAAACCAAGTATCTGAAAGGCAGCACTCATTAATCCTTTTTATATATTGAAAAATATTTTCTTAAGGCAAAAGAGCACACATTTACTTATGCTAAACTTTTTATTAAATCCAGACATGGTTGTTACTCTCTTCCTCCCTCTACAAAAACTTGAAGCTGACTCAACCAGCACTATGTTATACCTCACCATAGAGTCTAGATAAAAGTCCTTAAATACATCTTTTCAGAGTGGTTAAACCGCATTGCCACAACAATCCTAAGCAAAAAGAACAAAGCTGGAGGCATCACGCTACCTGACTTCAAACTATACTACAAGGCTACAGTAACCAAAACAGCATGGTACTGGTACCAAAACAGAGATATAGAACAATGGAACAAAACAGAGCCCTCAGAAATAATACCACACATCTACAACCACCTGATCTTTGACAAACCTGACAAAAACAAAAAATGGGGAAAGAATTCCCTATTTAACAAATGGTGCTGGGAAAACTGGCTAGCCATATGGAGAAAGCTGAAACTGGATCCCTTCCTTACACCTTACACAAAAATTAATTCAAGATGGATTAAAGACTTAAGCGTCAGACCTAAAACCATAAAAACCCTAGAAGAAAACCTAGGCAATACCATTCAGGACATAGGCATGGGCAAGGACTTCATGTCTAAAACACCAAAAGCAATGGCAACAAAAGCCAAAATTGACAAATGGGATCTAATTAAACTCAAGAGCTTCTGCACAGCAAAAGAAACTACCATCAGAGTGAACAGGCAAACTACAGAATGGGAGAAAATTTTTGCAATCTACTCATCTGACAAAGGGCTAATATCCAGAATCTACAAAGAACTTAAACAAATTTACAAGAAAAAAATCAAACAACCCCATCAAAAAGTAGGCAAAGGATATGAACAGACACTTCTCAAAAGAAGACATTTATGCAGCCAAAGACACATGTAAAAATGCTCATCATCACTGGTCATCAGACAAATGCAAATCAAAACCACAATGAGATACCATCTCATGCCAGTTAGAATGGCGATCATTAAAAAGTCAGGAAACAACACATGCTGGAGAGGATGTGGAGAAATAGGAACACTTTTACATTGTTGGTGGGACTGTAAACTAGTTCAACCATTGTGGAAGACAGTGTGGTGACTCCTCAAGGATCTAGAACTAGAAATACCATTTGACCCAGCCACCCCATTACTGGGTATATACCCAAAGGATTATCAATCATGCTGCTATAAAGACTCACACACATGTATGTTTATTGCAGCACTATTCACAATAGCAAAGACCTGGAACCAACCCAAATGTCCATCAATGACAGACTGGATTAAGAAAATGTGGCACATACACACCATGGAATACTATGCAGCCATAAAAAAGGATGAGTTCATGTCCTATATAGGGACATGGATGAAGCTGGAAACCATCATTCTCAGCAAACTATCGCAAGGACAAAAAACCAAACACCGCATGTTCTCACTCATAGGTGGGAATTCAACAATGAAAACACTTGGACACAGGAAGGGGAACATCACACACCGGGGCCTGTCATGGGGTGGGGGGAGGGGGGAGGGATAGCATTAGTAGATATACCTAATGTAAATGACGAGTTAATGGGTGCAGCACACCAACATGGCACATGTATGCATATGTAACAAACCTGCACGTTGTGCACATGTACCCTAGAACTTAAAGTGTAATAAAAAAAAATCTCCATTAGAGAAAAGTGGGTTCAGCCTTCAGGCTCACATTCACATAACTACAAAAGGAGCTTGAGGCAGATGGCAGTCTATGAGATCTGATCTGCCTATCTGCAATTGGGTCAAAAAAATAAATCTAAATCCTGATATTAGCTAACTAAAATAAATGATTAGGTTTCATACCAGTTTTAAATCCTAATGTCACTTAAAAAAAAAAAAAACTATAGGCCATGATCATTACCATGAATGTTTTACTGCTTTTTTACCGATGAGGAATTGGAAAATTTTTTAAAAAAATAGTGTTTTTTTATCCATCTGACAAAGGGCTAATATCCAGAATCTACAAAGAACTTAAATTTATAAGAAAAAAACAAATAACCCTATCAAAAAGTGGGCATAGGATATGAATAGACACTTCTCCAAAGAAGACATTTACATGGCCAACAAACATGAAAAACAGCTCAGCATCACTGGTCATTAGAGAAATGCAAATCAAAACCACAATGAGATACCATCTCATGCCAATTAGAATGCCGATCATTAAGAAGTCAGGAAACAACAGATGCTGGAGAGGATGTGGAGAAATAGGAACACTTTTACACTGTTGGTGGGAGGATAAATTCGTTCAACCATTGTGGAAGACAGTGTGACGATTCCACAATGATCTAGAATTAGAAATACCATTTGACCCAGCAATCCCATTACTGGGTATATACCCAAAGGATTATAAATCATTCTACTGTAAAGACACATGCACACATATGTTTACTGCAGCACTATTCACAGTAGCAAAGACTTGGAACCAACCCAAATACCTATCAATGGTACACTGGATAAAGAAAATGTGGCACCTATACACCACGGAATACTATGCAGCCATAAAAAAAGGATCAGTTCATATATTTTGCAGGGACATGGATGAAGCTGGAAACCATCACTCTCAGCAAACTAACACAGGAACAGAAAACCAAACACTGCATGTTCTCACTCATAAGTGGGAGTTGAACAATGAGAACATATGGGCACAAGGAGGGGAACATCACACTGGGGCCTGTTGGGGGGTTGGGGGCAAGGGGAGGGATAGCATTAGAAGAAATACCCAATGGAGATGATAGGTTGATGGGTGCAGCAAACCACCATGGCACATGTATACTTATGTAAAAAACTTGCACGTTCTGCTCACATATCCCAGAACTTAAAGTATAATAAGAAATAAAAAATACAAAACTGAGAGTTTTAAAACAACAGTTTTCTTATAAACCAGAGAAGAAGTCTGAAGAAACAACAGATTATGGCAGAAAAACTCAGACTGTCTACAAATTTACAAATGATGCATTGGTTCAACACCAGGAACGGAATGGGAAGGAAAGCACAATGAGAAAAGTGAAAGATGGAAAATTAGCGGTAGAATGTGTTATGTACAATGCCACCTCTCCTCGAATCCATAAAAAAGTGTAATAAAAATTCCACTATTAAACCAAGTGTGGTGGCTCATGCCTGTATTCCTAGCAATTTGAGAGGCGGAGATGGGAGGATCACTTGAGGCCAGGAGTTCAAGACCAGCCTGGTCAACATAGCGAGCCCCCATCTTTATTTAAAAAAAAAAAAAAAAAGTCATTATCACTTCGCAGAAGGATTAGCTGAAAACAAGCTCAGTTTAATGAGCAAATTTCTGTAATACTTTTTTCATTATTAAATTCAATTATCTCTATCACAGACATTTTACATGAAAATAATTCCAAGTGTTGGCTTAATTAGGATCATCCTTTTGGTTAGTAATTAAATATGTTTGGTTAGCAAAATAAATAATGAAAAACACATTACTTTGCTCTCATTCCCCTATAGAAACTTTTGAAATAGTACACAAAATGCATGAAGAAATGAATATAAAACTGCAACTTCTTAAAGCCTATGAAATGTTAAATGTGATAGCATTTTTTAACTTATCAAATATTTAGGGGTAAAATGACTATTCATTGTAGGCTAAGTTTCCATGAAATAGACACTCTCATAGATAGCCTGTGGTGATACATACATTTACAAAACAAATTGGCAAAAACCATCAAGAGACTTTGATCTAGTAATTCTATCTCCCTTTATCTATACAAAGAAAGTAAGAAAGTATTTCTTTTCTTTTCTTTTCTTTTTTTTTTTTTGAGTTGGAGTCTTGCTCTGTCGCCCAGGCTGGAGTGCAGTGGTTCGATCTCGGCTCACTGCAACCTCTCCACCTCCCGGGTTCAAGCAATTCTCCTGCCTCAACCTCCTGAGTACCTGGGACTACAGGCATGCACCACCATGCCCAGCTGATTTTTGTATTTTTAGTATAGACGGGGTTTCACCATATTGGCCAGGCTGGTCTTGAACTCCTGACTTCATGTTCCACCTGCCTCAGCCTCCCAAAGTGCTGGGATTATAGGCATGAGCCACCGCACCTGGCCCAAAGAAAATATTTCTACATAATAACTTTACTCAAGAAAGTTATCTGCCAGATGCTCACAAAAGCAAAAAAAAAAAAAAAAAACTGTAATCAATTAAAGTGTATAATAAAGACTAGGTAAACAAGGATGCATACAAGTCATACAATATCATACCAACCATTAAATTTTAAAAGTTCAAATAATATGGAAAATAGCTCATACTACAATGCTAACCAAAAATAGCAGGCTATAAACTGTCTATGAAGTATGATGACAATTATGTTTAAAATTGCATTAAAATATTGCTAATAAATATACCCCAAAAATATCTTTAGTAAGTAATATCTAGCTAATATTACAGAAGATATTTTTCTTCTACCTTTTTGGTACATAATACACTCATTGCTTTCATGCAGGAAAAGTTTTATTTTCTTTAATTCATAGACTTTTCTTTAAAATTTGAGAAATAAAGACATGTATGACGCAAAACTAATTTAAAATTAAAAACATCATTTTTCTAAGATTCTTCAAGGTAATTCAATTCCATTTAAGAAATTACTCACATGTGCGTGTGTTTCCAGTTTCAAAATCATCATGTTTAAAGTACATTATATGGCCGGGCATGATGGCTCATGCCTGTAATCCCAGCACTTTGGGAGGCCAAGGTGGGTGGATCACTTGAGGTCAGGAATTGGAGACCAGCCTGGGCAACATGGTGAAATCCCATCTCTACTAAAAATACAAAAAACTTAGCTGGGTGTGCCAGTGCATGCCTGTAGTCCCAGCTACTCGGTAGGCTGAGGCATGAAAATTGCTTGAACCCGGGAGGCAGAGGCTGCAGTGAGCCAAGATCACGTCACCGCACTCCAGCCTGGGCAACAGAGCAAGACCGTCTCGGAAAAATAAATAAATAAAGTACAGTATAAGGCATATAGTTATTTGTTAATACCTATAATTTCAGTTTTAAATTAAACAGTAATTAACGATTTTGACTTTTCACTAATTCAAGAGATTCTGTTCATACCTGCTTTACTTACAAGTTTACTACTCACTGAAGTGTTGAAAACCTCCTAACATGTGTCCTTATCAAACAGAATTACGAGAAATCTTTTCCAAAGCCAATGGAAACCAAAAAAGTGCAGAAGTGGCTATACTAATATAAGACAAAATAGATTTCAAGACAAAAACTATAGGAAAAGCCAAAGAGGGTCACTATATAATGATAAAGCAGTCAATTCAGCAAGAGGATGTAACCATTTTAAACATAAATGCACCCAACACTGGAGCACTCACATATATAAAGCAAGTATTATTAGAGCAAAAGGGAGAGACAGGCCCCAATATGATAAAACTTGGAGACTTCAATATCCCACTTTCAGCATTGGACAGACCTTCCAAAGAAAACCAACAATGAAGCATCAGACTTAATGTGCATTAGAGGCCAAATGGACCTAATAGATATTTACAGAAAAATTCATCCAAGGGCTGCAGAATACACATTCTTCTCCTCAGCCCATGGATTATTCTCAAGGATAGAACATATGTTAAGTAACAAAACAAGTCTTAAGACATTAAAAATATTGAAATAATATCAAGCATCTCCTCTGATAACGGAATAAAACTAGAAATCAATAATGAGAAATTTTGAAAAGTATACAAATACATGTAAATTAAACAATATGTTCTTGAATGATCAGTAAGTCAATGCAAAAATTAAGAAGAAAATTGGAAAATTCATTGAAACAAATGATACTGAAACACAACATACCAAAACCTATGGGATACAGCAAAAGCATTACTAAAAGGGAAGTTTATAGCTGTGAGTGCCTACATGAAAAAAGAAGAAATACTTCAAATAAACAACCTAACAACACATCTTAAAGAATAAGAAAAGCAAGAGTAAACCAACCCCAAAATTAGAAGAAATAATAAAGATCAGAGTGAAGCAAACGAAACTGAAATAAAGAAAATAATACAAAATATCAATAAAACAAAATGTTGGTTTTTGTAAAAGTTAAAAGAAAATTTAAAAACCTTTGGCCAGAGTAAAAAAAAAAAAAGAAAAAAAAAAGAAGATCCAAATATATAAACCAGAGATGAGAATGGAGACATTACAATGATAACCAATACTGCAGAAATAAAAAGGTTCATTCATGGCTACTATGAAAAACTATATGCTAATGAACTGGAAAACCTAGAAGAAATGGACAAATTCCTAGACACAATCTACCAAGATTGAACCATGAACAAATCTGCAACCTGAACACAGCTATAACAAATAACGAGATTGACACCATAATAAAAATTCTCCCAGTAAATAAAAGCCTGGGACCTGATGGCTTCACTGCTGAATTCTACCAAACATTTAAAGAAGATCTAATACTGATAGAGGCAGGAGGCAGAGAAATTCTAGGAAGACAAGGGCAGTCCCTGGTGAAACCCCACGTTCAAGCCAAAAAGCCTGAAACCCACAGCCCAAAGTGAAAACTTCTATTCCTGTTTGTCCGCTCTCTCCCGATTGGTTCTGTTTGAATAATGTCTCTTTACCAATAGAATGTTGCCTTTTCCAAAACTTCTACAGCCTGCCCCGCCCCCATCCTGTGCTTATAAAGAGGATCCTATGCTTATAAAGACCCCAGATTCAGTTGGTAGAGAGGAGAGAAACAGCTTAATTTCGGAGAGAAGATGGCCAAACTTTGGGAAAGGAGACAGCATGACTTAGGGAAGAAACGGCCGGACTTCAGGGAGATCAGCCCTTCCCATCCCCTCTCCAGCTCCCCTCTCCACTGAGCCATTCCCACTGCTCAATAAAATTCTTCACCTTCACCATCCTTCAAGTGTCCACTCAACCTCATTCTTCTTGGATGCCAGACAAGAGCTCAGGACCCACTGAGTGCAGGTACCCAAAAAAGACTGTCACACCAGCCCTTTGCCCTCACCAGTGGAGGGCAGCCACCCCACATGACAAGGCAAGAGGCCAACTTGTTAACACACAGCCATCAGCAGACAGCAGAACTAAAGGAGCACTGTTAACACCCCCTCAGGGGCCTCGGGGTCACAGACACCACCCCCCTCCCCATCAACCTGGGTGCTGTGCACAGGCCTGCTCCTGCTGGTGCTCAGAACAGCTGGGTCCCACACTCACTCGCTTGTGCCTGGTCTGGCCGTGGTCCCTGCACAGGGCTTGCTGCTGTGTCAGTGCCCCCACCAGCTGGCCAGGTCCCGCACTCACTCACTCACATGCACCCTCCAACAAGGGGTTGAGCACGGCAGGCTGAGTAAACATTCGCCCCTGTCACAAGTCCAACAAAGGGGCCGAGAAAATTCCTGCATCAATACTATTCCTACTCAAACTATTCCAAAAAATAAAAGGAAGCAATACTTCCAAACACATTCTGTGAGGCCAGTATTACCCTGTTACCAAAACCTGACAAAAACACATCAAAAAAAGAAAATGACAGGCCAATATCTCTGATAAATATTGCTGCAAACATCCTCAACAAAATACTAGCAAATCAGACACATTAAAAAGATCATTCATCGTAACCAGGTGGAGTTTATCCCTTGGATGCAAGAGGGGATCAATATATGCAAATCAATGTGATACATCATATCAACAGAATGAAGAACAAAAACCATATTATATCAATTGATGCTTAAAAACTATTTGATAATATTCAACATTCCTTCATGATAAAAACCCTCAAAAAAATGGGTTTAGGAGGAACATACCTCAACATAATAAAAGCCATATACAACACACCCACAACTGGTATCAAACTGAGGGGAAAAACTGAACGCCTTTCCTCTAAGATCCAGATCACGACAAGAATGCCCACTTCCAGCAGTTACTCAACATGGTACTACTGGAAGTCCTAGCTACAGCAACCAGACAAGAGAAAGAAATAAGGGAAAGGAAGAAGTCAAATTACCCTTATTTGCAGATGATATGATCTTATATTTAGAAAAACCTACAGACTCTACAAAAAAACTATTAGAACGGATAAACAAATTCAGTAAACTGTCAGTATAAAAAATCAATATACAAAAATCAGCAGCATTTCTAAACATCGACAGTGACCAATCTGAAAAGCAAACTGAATGAAATTGAAGAGGACACCAAAAAATGTAAAGATATTTCATGTTCATGGACTGGAAGAATCAATATTGTTAAACTGTCCATACTATCCAAAGCAATCTATAGATTCAATGCAATCCCTATCAAAATACCAATGACACTCTTCACAGAAATAGAAAAAACAATCCTAAAACTTACACGGAACTACAAAAGTTCCAGAATTCCCAAAACTATACTAAGCAGAAAGAACAAAACTGGAAGAATCACATTATCAGACTTCAAATTATACCACAGAGTTATAGTAACCAAAACAGCATGATTCTGGCATAAAAGCAGACACATAAACCAATGGACAGAATACAGAACTCAGAAACAAATCCACACATCTACGGTGAACTCATTTTCTATTTCTAGAAAGGTGCCGAGAACATATGCTGGGGAAAAGAAAAAGGCTCAATACATGATGCTGGGGCCAGGCACAGTGGCTCACATCTGTAATCCCAGAACTTTGGAAGGCTAAAGCAGACGGATCACTTGAGGTCAGGAGTTTGAGACCAGCCTGGCCAACAGGGTGAAACCCCATCTATGCTAAAAAAAAAAAAAAAAAAAAAAAAAAAATTAGCCAGCCATGGTGGCAGGCACCTGTAATCCCAGCTACTTGGAAGGCTGAGGCAGAAGAATCACTTGAACCCAGGAGGCAGAGGTTGCAGTGAGGGGAGATAGCACCACTGCACTCCAGCCTGGGCAACACAGTGAGACTCACTCTCAGAAAAATAAATAAAATAAATAAAATAAAAGGTGCTGGGGCCAGGCACGCTGGCTCACACCTGTAATCCCAACACTTTGGGAAGCTGAGGTGAGCAGATCACAAGGTCAGGAGTTCGAGACCAGCCTGGGCAACATGGTGAAACTCCATCTCTACTAAAAATACGAAAAAAAAATTAGCCAGGCGTGGTGGCATGCACCTGTAATCCCAGCTCCTCAGGAGGCTGAGGCAGGAGAATCGCTTGAACCTGGGAGGCGGAGGTTGCAGTGAGCCGAGATCGTGCCAGTGCACTCCAGCCTCGACAAAAGAGCAAGATTCTGTCTCAAATACATACATACATACATACATACATACATACATACATACATACATACATACAAAAATTAGTTGGGCATGGTGGTAGTACACACCTGTCATCCCAGCTACTCAGGAGGCTGAGGCAGGAGAATTGCTTGAACCCAGGAGGAAGAGGTTGCAGTGAGCCTAGATCACACCACTGCACGCCAGCCTGGGTGATGAAATGAGACTCTGTCTCAAAAAAAATAAAATAAATAAATATAAATAAGTAAACGGTGCCGGGAAAACTGGATATCCATATACGGAAGAATGAAACTAGACTCCAGGCTGGGCATGGTGGCTCATGCCTGTAATCCCAGCACTTTGGGAGGCCAAGGCGGAAGGATCACCTGAGGTCAGGAGTTTGAGACCAGCCTGGCCAACATGGTGAAACCCCGTCTCTACTAAAAATACAAAAATTAGCTGGGCATCATGGTGGGTGCCTGTAATCCCAGCTACTTGGGAGGCTGAGGCAGGAGAATCGCTTGAACGCAGGAGGCAGAGGCTGCATGCAGTGAGATGAGATAGCACCACTGCACTCCAGCCTGGGCAACATAGGGAGACTCACTCTCAAAAAAATAAGTAAAATAAAATAAAAATAAATGGTGCTGGCCCGGCACGGTGGCTCACGCCTGTAATCCCAGTAATTTGGGGGGCCGAGGCAGGTGGATCATTTGAGGTCAAGAGTTCGAGATCAGCCTGGCCAACATGGTGAAACCCCATCTCTACTCAAAATATAAAAATTAGCTTGTAATCCCAGCTACTCGGGAGGCTGAGGCAGGAGAACTGCTTGAATCCGGGAGGCAGAGGTTGCAGTGAGCCCACATCACACCACTGCACTCCAGCCTGGGTGATGGAATGAGACTCTGTCTCAAAAAAAAATAAAATAAATAAAAATAAATAAATAAATGGTGCCGGGAAAACTGGATATCCATATACAGAAGAATGAAACTAGACTCCAGGCCGGGTGCAGTGGCTCATACCTGTAATCTCAGCAGTTTGGGAGGCCGAGACGGCCAGACCACCTGAGGTCAGGAGTTCAAGGCCAGCCTGGCCAACATGGTGAAATCCGGTCTCTATTAAAAATACAAAAATTAGCCTGGCGCAATGACTCACGCCTGTAATCCCAGCACTTTGGGAGGCCAAGGCAGGCGGATCACGAGGTCAGGAGATCGAGACCATTCTGGCTACGGTGAAACCCCGTCTCTAATAAAAATACAAAAAATTAGCCGGCACAGTGACGGACGCCTGTAGTCCCAGCTACTCGGGAGGCTGAGGCTGGAGAATGGCGTGAACCCGGGAGGCGGAGCTTGCAGTGAGCCGAGATCGTGCCACTGCACTCCAGCCTGGGTGACAGAGCAAGACTCCGTCTCAAAAAACTAAATAAATAAATAAATAAATAAATAAATAAATAAATAAAAATAAATACAAAAATCAGACGGGCATGGTGGTGGGCTCTTGTAATCCCAGCTACTCGGGAGGCTGAGGCTGGAGAATGGCGTGAACCCGGGAGGCGGAGCTTGCAGTGAGCCGAGATCGTGCCACTGCACTCCAGCCTGGGTGACAGAGCAAGACTCCGTCTCAAAAAACTAAATAAATAAATAAATAAATAAATAAAAATAAATAAATACAAAAATCAGACGGGCATGGTGGTGGGCTCTTGTAATCCCAGCTACTCGGGAGGCTGAGGCAGGAGAATCGCTTGAACCTGGGAGACGGAGGTTGCAGTGAGCTGAGACCGTGCCATTGCACTCCAGTATGGGCAACAAGAGCCGAAACTCCACCTCAAAAAAAAAAAAAGAAAAAGAAACTAGACTCCTATCTCTTGCTCTATACATAAATAAAATCAAAATGGATTAAAGAATTTTATCTAAAACTTCAATTTATGAATCCTCTACAAGAAAACATTGGGGAAACTCTCTAGGCCATTAGTCTGGGCAAAATTTTCTTGAACAATACCCCACAAGCACAGGTAACCAAACAAAACTTGACAAATGGGATCACATCAAGTTAAAAAGCTTTTGCATAACAAAAGAAACAATCAACAAAGTGAACAAACAACCCAAAGAATGGGAGAAAGTATTTGCAAACTATCCATCTAACAAGCGATTAATAACCAGAATATGTAAGTAGCTCAAACAACTCTACAGAATAAAAATCTAATAATCCAATCAAAAATGGGCAAAAAATGTGGATACACATTTCTCAAAAGAAGACATACAAATTGCAAATAGGCATATGAAAAAGCATTCTACATCACTGATCATCAGAGAAATGCAAATCAAAGCTACCATGAGATACCATCTTGCCTGAGTTGAAATGGCTTATATCCAAAAGACAGGCAATAACAAATGTTGGCAATGATGTAAAGAAAAGAAAATCCTCATACACAGTTGGCAACAACGTGAAATAGGACAACCACTACGAAGAACAGTTTGGAGGTTCCTTATAAAACTAAAAATTGAGCTACCATATGATCCAGCAATCCAGCTGCTTGGGTATACACCAGAAATAAAGCAAATCAGCATATCAAAGGGATACCTGCATTCCCATGTTTATTACAGCACTGTTCCCAATAGCCAGGTTTGGATGCAACCTAAGTATCCATCAAAAGAGATGAATGGATAAAGAAAATGTGGTAGTTACACAAAATGGACTACTATTCAGCCATAAAAAAGAATGAGATCCCGTCATTTGCAACAACATGGATGGAACTAGAGGTTATTATGCTAAGTGAAATAAGCCAGGCACAGAAAGACCAACATTGCATATTCTCACTTATTTGTGGAATCTAAAAATCAAAACAAACTCATGGAGACACAGAGTAGAAAGAAAAGAGAAGTGCGAGGGGGGGCAAGATGTGGTGACGTTTAATGGGTACAAAAAAAAAAACAGTTGGAAAGCATGAATAAGACCTAGTATTTGGCCAGGCGCAGTGGCTCACACCTGTACTCCCAGCACTTTAGGAGGCCGCGGCGGGCGAACCACGCGGTCAGGAGTTCGATAGCAGCCTGGCCAACATGGTGAAACCCCGTCTCTACTAAAAATACAAAAATTAGCTGGGCTTGGTGGTGGGCGCCTGTAATCCCAGCTACTCGGGAGGCTGAGGCAGCAGAATCATTTGAACCCAGGAGGCGGAGGTTACAGTGAGCCAAGATCGCACCATTGCACTCCAGCTTAGGCGACAGGGCAAGACTCTGTCTCCAAAAAAAAAAAAGGGGGGGGGGGGCCTAGTATTTGATGGCACAACAGGGTGTATATAATAAATAATAGATAATACATTAATTAATCTAATTAATCATTTGAGGTCAGGAGTTTGAGATCAAATTAATGTATTATTTACTGTATTAAATTAATTGTACATTTTTTAATACCTGAAAGAATAAAATTGGATTGTTTTTCAACTCAAAGGATACATGCTTGAGGGGATGGACAGCCCATTTTACATGATGTGATTAGTACACATTTCATGCCTGTCTCAGAATCTCATAAATCCCATAAATATATACACCTACTATGTACCCACAATTTTATTTTTTGTTTAAATTTCATGCCTTAATTTTACTCCCAAATGTGATACGAGCCCATATACATTTCCTCCATGCCACCAAATTTCAACCACTTAAAAAGCATCTCTTAGGGTAAATGCTGGAATTTTTTGTAAAGGGTCCACATGTCTTTGGTTTTCTTACTAACCTTACCAAATTCTAACATGTACATTTAATGCACACTGACCTCATTTAAAACTTATAAGAACCTTATTACAGGAAACTGAGGCTCAGAAAGACATTTATTTGCTGAATAAAATAAAGGAGTTAAATAATTTGCACTTCCGGCTGGGTGCAGTGGCTCACACCTATAATCCCAGCACTTAGGGAGGCTGAGGTGGGAAGATGATTTGAGCCCAAGAGTTTGAGACAAGCCTGAACAACATAGTGAGATCCCATCTCTACAGAATTTTTTTAAATTAGCCGGCTGTGGTGGCACGTGCCTGTAGTCCCAGCTACTCAGGAGGCTGAGGTGGGAAGATTGCTTGACCCTAGGAAGTCAAGGCTACAGTGAGTCAGGATCAAGCCACTGCACTCCAGCCTAGGCGATACAGTGACACCCTGTCTCCAAAAAAAAAAAAAACAATAAATAATAATAATAATAATTTTCACTCCTAAATACTAAGTGGAAAATCAGGAAGTCTATCTCCAATCAAAAGCCTACTCTATACTGCATCCTTTCAGGGAAATCAAGGCACAGTCACTAATGGAATTTAATGAGTAGAAAAGTACTTACCCTAGTAGATAATCATCAAAACTAACAATATGTTTTTTTTGTTTCTCTTTTGTGTCTTTTTTTTTTTTTTTTTTTTTTGGAGACAGGGTCTTACTCTGTCACCCATGCTGGAGTTCAGTGGCACAATCTCGTCTCACTGCAACCTCCGCCTCCCAGGTTCAAGTGATTGTCCTGCCTCAGCCTCCTAAATAGCTGGGATTACAGGTATGCGCCCCAACGCCCGGCTAATTTTTATATTTTCAGTAGAGACGGGTTTCACCATGTTGGCCTGGCTGGTCTCAAACTCCTGGTCTCAAGTGGTCTGCCCGCCTCAGCTTCCCAAGGTGCTGGGATTACAGGCATGTTCCCGGCTAAAACTAACAATATTTAAATGGACGAAGGATAAGCTAAGATATCCATAAAAGCACTTTCAGGTAATACAGCATACTTTTTCATCTTTGTTCTTTGCCATCTTTGTTACTGTCTTATTTACATTTGCAATTTTTTTAATTTTTTATTTCCACAGGCTTCTGGGGAATACGTGGTATTTGGTTACACGAGTAAATTCTTTAGTGGTAATTTCTGAGATTTTGTTGCACCCATCTCCCAAGCAGTACACATGAACCCAATTTGTAGTCTTTTATCCCTCATCTCCTTCCTACCCTTTCCCTCTGAGTCCCCAAAAGCCACTGTGTCATTCTTATGCCTTTGCATCCTTATAGCTTAGCTCCTACTTATGAGCGAGAACATAACGATGTTTGGTTTTCCATTCCTGAGTTACTTCACTTAGAATAATAGTCTCCAATCCCATCCAGGTTACTGCAAATGCCATTAATTCATTCATTCTTATAGCCGGGTAGTATTCCATCATATATATATAATCAGATATATATACATAATCAGATATATATATATATAATCAGATATATATATATCAGTTTCTTTATCCACTCATTTGCAATTATTTAATTTTTAAATAAAACACTTTATAAACACATAAAATTATGAGATCTCTAGTTATATTTCTCATGCCTAAGCCACTGTGCTTACCACACTATCCAAATAAGTACAGCAACTAAACATAGGGTGCTAATAATAAGAAAAACAAATTATTTTAAAACTAATTCTTAAAACATCCAATTGAAAGCAGAACCTGATCCTCACAAAGACTAAGACCTGGAAGGTATTTCACAAGAATTTCCAACAAAGGAGAACATCAAAAATAAGCCCACAGACACCTATGACAGTTTACGTGAGGTTATTTTTACTAAAAGTAAGAAAAAACGGGCCAGGCAAGGTGGCTCATACTTGTAATCCCAGCACTTTGGGAGGCCGAGGTGGGTAGATCACCTGAGGTCAGGATTTCAAGACCAGCCTGGCCAACATGACGAAACCCCATCTCTATCAAAAATATAAAAAAAATTAGCCAGATATAGTGGCGGGCACCTGTAATTTCAGCTACTTGGGAGGCTGAGGCAGGAGAATTGCTTGAACCTGGGAGGCAGAGGTTTTAGTGAGCCGAGATTGCGCCACTGCACTCCAGCCTGGGGAAGAAGCGCAAAACTCCATCCCAAAAAAAAAAAAAAAAAAAAAAAATTTTTAAAAAAAGAAACAAACAAAACTCACCAGGCAGCTATAATATGTAAGGATTTTGGAGGTCCTCACTTCTATCCTGACAAGAAAAAACGCTGAGAAAACTGAAAATCAGTAATTTATCTTAGATCAATCCAAAAACTGAGGTCACAAGGCAAACCACCACCAAAAAAAACTAGAAAGACAGATACAGAATATCACAGCTTTCCTAGAACAGAAACACTCAAGTAGAAACTGACAACTTCTGGAGGCCAAATATGGATTAGTTTGAGAGTTTAAAAATCCTGACATCCCAGTCTTAGAGGGGCCCCTACACTTTCCTAGGTTTTACCTCCAGGAATCCTACAAGGGTTTTAGTATGTTTTCACTGCAAATATTTGAGGAAAATTTCCTTGTGCCTTGAGCAGGAGGAGAGGAAAGAAACTATATTCAAATATGCTCACACCATTATCTACCAAGAGGAAAGACAATTAGAAAACCCCCGAGGCTTATAGCCTTCCTGTCTCATCTAAGTGGGAGGGCAAGGGCTAAGAAACACTTCTGAGAGTCACAATTCAGGGACTCAGGACCAATTAAAAAAAAAAGAAATGACATTTAATCATGAGATTACAAAACACTTCCCCTCCCTAATTCCTTACCACTACATCAATAGGGTTCCAGTGTAATAACAGTGAATGACAACTGAGACAGCAGCAAGACAGATTCTCAGGGAAACTCAAAAGACAAATGGGGAGGAAAAAAATTAAAACAAAGAAACTAGGCCAGGCACAGTGAATCACGCCTATAATCCCAGCCCTTTGGGAGGCCGAGGAAGGTAGGATTGCTTGAGCTCAGGAGTTCGAGACCAGCTTGGGGAACATTAGCAAGATCTCATCTCTACTACAAATAAAAATAAAAGTGAGAGGCTCACTTGAGCCCAGGAGGTCAAGACCAGCCTGAGCAACATAGTGAGACCCTGTCTCTACACACACACACACACACACACACACAAAGTCACATGTGGTAGTGTGAGTCTGTCATCCTAGCTACTCCAGAGACTGAGGTAGGAGAATCACTTGAGTCTGGGAGATCAAGGCTGCAGTGAGCCACAGTCACACCACTGCACTCCAGCCCAAGCAAGAGAGTAAGACTTTGTCTCAAAAAATTTAAATTTAAATTTAAAAAAGTAAAGTCATGGCTATTGAAGGCCTTTGTTCATTTCTTGAAGGCCTTTGTTCATTTCTTCATTGGGTTTTCTTTTCGCTGCTCAGTAAAAGTTCTTTACACATTCTGGATATTAAACCCTCATCAGTCATATGATTTGCAAATATTTTCTCCCATTCTGAGTTGTCTTTCTTTTTATTCTCTTGATAGTGACCTTTTTTTTGGGGGGGGGATTGCTTCATTTTGTTTGTTTGTTTGTTTTGAGATGGAGTCTTGCGCTCTCGCCCAGGTTCTAGTGCAGTGGCACGATCTCAGCTCACTACAACCTCCACCTCCCATGCTCAAGTGATTCTCCTGCCACAGCCTCTCAAGTAGCTGGGACTACAGGTGCGCGCCACCATGCCCAGCTAATTTTTGTATTTTTAGTAGAGACAGGGTTTCACCATGTTGGTCAGGCTGGTCTCGAACTCCTGACCTCAAGTGATCCACCCGCCTCAGCCTCTCAAAGTGCTGGGATTACAGGTGTGAGCCACCACATCCAGCCGATAGTGACCTCTGATGTAAAAAAATTTTTAAATTTTTAATGAAGTCCAACTTACTTATTCTTTTGCTGCCTGTGCTTTCTACATTATGTTTATGAAATCATTGCCAAATCCCAGGTCATGAAAATCAGCCCAAATGTTTTCTGCTAAGAGTTTTATAATTTTAGCTGTTAACGTTAAGATCTTTGATGCATTTAACTGTTTTATATGGTGCAAGATAGGGGCCCAACTTAATTGTTCCATGTACATATAGAGGGTTTTATTTTTTTTTGGATATAGAGTTTTGTTGGGGATGATGAAAAAGTTTTGGGCATAGGTAGTAATGATCATGATACATTATAAATATATTTAATGCCACTGAATTGTACACTTAAAAATAATTAAAGTGATAAATATTAGACCAACTAAGAAGAAAAGGCAGTAAGTTCTTCATTCTGATAGATAAGTGGAAAATAAACCAACAAACCCATCCAACATCAACTCTAATCCTCCTAATCAAGACAGGTAGAGTAGTTCAGATTTTCTAACCTAATGTTCTAATCTTTTCTAACCTTTATGGTGCTCCCTCAGCCCTGATTTTCTCTGCTACAAAATGTTCCACAGAACCACTTTAAGTAGCAATTCTAGCGGAAACCTCATCTGGGTGGACAAAGGAGAAGCAGGATTGGGCAGAAAGAAAACTGCCTTTCCCACATACAGGGGAACTGTGAGACCCTGGAGGAACCTGGGGAATGGGGCAGAAGAAACAAGATCAGGAAAAGATGGATGACTGCAAGAATTTCAAGCGTGCCTCATCCAGGTACAAGAGCTAAAATTGTGTAGACAATGACACTTTGGATATATTATCCCAGAGGGAACACAGGAGTTCAACAGAAAAGCGACAGCAAAAACCAAAATCTAGGAAGCAAAAGGAAAACAGAGAGCCTGTGTGGCTGGGACCCACAGGGAACCAGAAGTGATTCCCCAATATGGGAGAGGGTGAGTATTTTTCTGTGGTCCACTACCATACAATCCAGTCCTCAGTAGAGCACCCTGACCCTCTTAAGCCCTGAATCTAATTAATTTAGGGAATGACTGGAAGACTGTGAGAAAGAACTGTTTCAGGGAGGGAACACATTCTGTGTCCCATGCCATTTTTGAAACCTAAGCAGCTGTAACAAGACACGATGCAGGATCTCAGCTCATAACTGTGAGCAGTACGGGGAAGCAACAGGGCCAGTCCTAGCCATTAGGGAAACTTGGGCTGCTGTTTGGAGAGGCAGAGTGTGAGTAGGGGCGGGGATGGGGTGGCTCTGCCTGGTGTGGGATGCAGCCACCACCAGTGCTAGAAGCAAACACCACCCCCAGGATTTGAGCACGATTAATTGCCCTGGAGGCTTAAGTCTTGAGCTGGATGGGGCTTATATGACCCGACCCTGGGATGATTTAGGGACTAGGCAAGAACTGCAGAGTTCTGACTGAACAGCAGGGACAAGAGGAAGGAACTCCGCCTGGACTGGGGCATGAAAGGAACACAACTCACTCCTGGGACCAGGCCCAACTTCCCCATGGCAGGATCTCAGCAGTGGCACTCATCCCTCACCCAAGCATTTTGCCAGCAGCCTGAAGATCATTCCACCCCGCCTATCATGACATTACACCACTGTGGGGGCCTGAGTGCAAGCTTTCCCAGTCCAGCTCTACCAGGCTTTGACCTGGCTGAGAAACAGTGCAGGATCCAGGTTACCAGGGGATTCCACAACCAAACCCACTACCTGAAACACTCTGAAACACCAGAGTACTTCTCCCAGGGGACAGAGGTCAGGGATAACACCCTACCAGTACCGCCTCAGCTGCCTCATGCCTGCAAGTACCACCTTACTGGCCTGGATCTCATTGTAACCACTGCTAACACAAATGCAAAGTGCTTGGGACCCACAAGAGTATCTCAACAAAACTACTACCACCATAAACTATGCCATGCCAGTTGCCCAGGAGCTCAAGAGCCAGCTCACCCACCTGGTACACCATTACAACAGGCATCTGAGAAAGTCACTCAGAAGCCCAAGAATCAGCCTGCCTGGAACTGCCAACACAGTTACCAGCACACACTGCCCCAGGGCACATGGATAGACATGCTTAGCCCACCATCACTACCATTGAAACCTAAAGACAGGCCTATTAGGCATTCCAATCCCCAGCGCAACTTCAGCCTCCACAAATAAACTCAAGCTAAGACATCAAGGAAACCACAGACACCATTAATGCTATTTATAGCCAAAGAAATCATACAGAGGCTGGGCACGGTGGTTCATGCCTGTAATCCTAACATTTTGGGAGGCCAAGGAGAGAGGATTGCTTGAGACCAGGAGTTCAAGACCAGCCTGGGCAATATAATGAGACCCCCATCTCTAAAAGAAAATTGAAAATTAGCCAGGCATGGTGGCACACGCCTGTAGTCCTAGGTACTCAGGAGGCTGAGGCAGAAGGATCACTTATGCCCAGGACTTTGAGGCTGAAGCAAGCTATGAATGTGCCACTGCACTCCAGCCTGGGCAACAGAGCTGTCTCAAAATAAATCATACAGAGACTTCACTACTGCACGCACCCAGAAGCAAGGCCCAACCAACATTATAGTCACATCTTCAGGAAGAAATCTCCCCTCACCATGAAAGTAAATTCAAAGATAAGAAGTGACTGTTACAGCACATGCACAGAAATCAATGAAAAGACAAAGGAAACATCAGAAACCAAGGTAATATGACACTGTCAAAGGAACACGATTCTGCAGCAACAGATCTTAACCAAAATGAAATCCACAAAATCCCAGATAAAATATTCAAAATATTGATTTTAAGGGTCACTGAGATGCAAGAAAAGTCTGAAAACCAATACAAGAAACTCAGAAAATCAATTCAAGATATGAATAAGAAATTTACAAAGGAGAAACCCTTAAAAAAAAATTCTGACCAGGCACGGTGCCTTGTGCCTGCAATCCCAGCACTTTGAGACACCAACGCAGGAGGATCACTTGAGTCGAGGAGTTCGAGACCAGTCTAGACAACATGGTGAAACCCCATCTCTACGAACAATTAAAAACTAGCTGGGTTAGCCAGGCATGGTGGTGGGCGCCTGTAATCCCAGCTGCTTGGGAGGCTAAGGCAGGAGAATGGCTTGAACCGAGGAGGCAGAGGTTGCAGTGAGCCGAGATCGCACCACTGCACTCCAGCCTGGGTGACAGAGTGAGACTCTGCCTCAACAACAACAACAACAACAACAAAAACCTAGCTGGGCATGGTGGTATGCGCCTATAGTCCCAGCTACTTGGAAGACTGAAGTGGGTGGATCCCCTAAGCCTGCGAGGTTGAGGCTGAAGTGAACCTCCGCCACTGCATTCCAGCCTGGGCAACAGAGTGAGACCCTGTCTCAAAAATGAAAAAAAAAAAAAAAAAAAAAAACTAGAGAGCTACCATATAATCCAGCAATTCCACTGCTAAATATGTACCCCAAAGAAAGGAAATCAGTATATCAAAGAGTTATCTGCACTCCCATGATTACTGCAGCACTATTCACAATAACCAAGATTTGGAAGTAACCTGAGTGTCCATCAACAGACGGACGAATAAAGAAAATGTGTTACACATACACAATGGAGTCCTATTCAGCCCTTAAAAAAGTATGAGATCCTGTCATTGCAACAACATGGATGGAACTGTAGGTCATTATATTAAGTGAAATAATCTAGACATAGAAAAACAAACTTCACATGTTCTCACTTATTTGTGGTATCTAAAAATCAAAACAATTGAACTCATAGAGATAGAGAGTAGAATGATGGTTACCAGAGGCTAGGACGGGTAGTGGGGGCCAGGGCACTAATGGGGATGGTGGCACAGTGGGGATGGCTAATATGTATAAAAATATAGTTAGATAGAATGAATAAGACCTAGCATTTGATAGCACAATGGGGTGACTACAGTCAATAATAATTCATTATGCATTTTAATATAACTACTAGAGATTAGAAACTATTAGAGATTAGAAACTAGATTGTTTCTAACACCAAGAAAGGATAAATGCTTGGTGATGGATACAACCCTGATGTAGTTATTGAACATTGTATGTCTGTATCAATATTATCTCATGTACCCCATAAATAAATATACCTATGTACACACAAATTTTTTTTTATTTTAAAAATACCCACAATGAGGTATCATCCAGCCCCAGTTAGAATGACTATTACTAAAAAGACAAAAAATAACACAAGTTGGTGAGGTTGCAGAGAAAAGGGAACACTCATACACTGTTGGTGGGAATAACACATGTTCTCATTCACATGTGGATGCTGAAAAATGTGTACACATGGACGTAGAGCATGGAATGATAGATAACAGACTTGGAAAGGTGAGAGAGCAGGAGGTGGGAGATCATGAGAAATTACTTAATGAATACAATGTGTGTTATTTGGGTGATGGAAACTCTAAAGGCTTGACTTGACGGCTCTGTAATCTATCCATGTTTAAAAAAAAAGTGCACAAGTACCCCCGTAAATTTATATAAATAAAAAAAGATCATCAACAAAACATAAATTCCTTTGAGAATGTTTAGAAATGAAGCATAAAACCCTCTTTTCATTAATTAAAAAAAGACAACTAGAGTTCCTAGTCTGTATATACTTATTGTATTTGAGCATCTTGCCCTAGATACATGTAACCTAACAATATCACAGTCTTACCACCTAAAACTACATATCACTCCTTGTCCGTCTGGTTAAACTTATTTATTTTCAGATGATGGTTCTATTCCTGGAGAATCTAAATTAGTACACACTCTCAAAATGCAAATTCCTATATTCAACTATTAAATGGTTTTCTTATCAAAATGGCAAATATCCTGATTTTCTAAATTTCTGGTCTGGCTTTAACATCAACAAAAGTCCTATAGGTCTGTTTCTTTCAACAGGCTAATGCCTTAGGGGAAAGAACAGTCATAATCTGGGATTAATAACATAAGCAAATAGATTTAAGAGACACAATTTTCTAATTGTACATGATTTTTTGAAAAACCCTTTTTTTGAGATGGAGTCTTGCTCTGTGGCCCAGGCTGGAGTTGCAGTGGCGCGATCTCGGCTCTACTGCAACCTCCACCTCCCGGGTTCAAGCAATTCTCCTGCCTCAGCCTCCTGAGTAGCTGAGACTACAGGCGCACACCACCACGCCCGGCTAATTTTTGTATTTTTAGTAGAGATGAGGTTTCACCATGTTGGCCAGGATGGTCTCGATCTCCTAACCTCGTGATCCACCCGCTTCGGCCTCCCAAAGTGCTGGGATTACAGGCGTGAGCCACCGCGCCCGGCCTGAAAAAATCCTTTTACAGCATCTGTGTAGCATTAAAATTTCAAAACAAAGGCCACTCATGTCAAATTCACAAGTATCTCTTGCCTCGAAAACTTCCATTTAACCTCTTCTGGAACTGACATAAAGGATTTTAACACAAAATCAGCCAGACGCAGTAGATCATACTTGTAATCCCAGCACTTTGAGAGGCCAAGGCAGGCAGATCACCTAAGGTCAGGAGATCAGGACCAGCCTGGCCAACATGGTGAAACCCCATCTCTACTAAAAATACAAAAATCAGCCGGGTGTGGTGGCACACACCTGTAATCCCAGCTACTTGGGAGGCTGAGGCATAAGAATTGCTTGAACCCCGGAGAAGGGGGTTGCAGTGAGCTGAGACTGCGCTACTGCACTCCAGCCTGAGCTATAGAGTGAGACTGTCTCAAAAAAAGGGGGCGGGGGACTTAACCCAAAATCAGAGTTAACTTCTATTCAAGAGCACATTCATTTACTCATTTTATAATATTTACACCAAATGCTGAATATATTCTTGGCACTTGGTATTGAAATAAAAAACAGATAAAACCTGACCTCAAGGAGCTCACAATCTAATAGTAAAGACAAGCCATTAAGCAGCCCAGGGGTAATCTAGGGTAGAAAAGGGGGATCCATCTCTCTGTGAATTTCCTAATGTTTTCTAAATTTCTGACTATATCTAATCTTTATATAGTTTCCTTTAAGTGTTAAAACTCTCACCTTATTTCCAACACCTGCTAACCTCCATTTTAAGAAACAAAGTTTGCTAGAGAGTCAAGACTTTCCTGAAGAATAACTTGGGAAAGCAAATATATATTATTATGCAAAGAATACTTAATCCTGGTTTAAATAAGAGTCTGATTTCACCTTTGATAAAGAAGGGGAGAAGAACAAAATCTAGGTTTCCTGACAGAAAATAATCATGCATTCCTATACCTGTAGCTAAATATCCCAGTGCTTTAACTAAACCCATCTACAAATCATTAGAGTAATCATTTAATTTGGGGCCCACTATTCAATTATTTTTCTGATCCATGCATTTATTGTATATAAATTTAAAATAAAACAATATAAGAAAGTTTTCCATGTACTGATATATGGAAAGCTTCTCAAGACACATTAAGTGGAAAAAGCAAAGGGGAGGCAAGTGTACATAACATGCCACCTTTTATGGTATAAAGGGGAATGATTAAAGATCTGTGGTTAACTGCTACTGAACACACAAAGAACTCTGGAAAGATAGGTTAGGCATCAGTAGCAGTGATTGGGCTGGGGGGTGGTAAGCTGCTGGCAGCTGTGGGAACAGAGAACAGGGAAGTGGGGGAAATTTCTAACTTTTATACTTTATACCTTTAAAAATATCTTTTATACCTTTTGGTGTTCAAACCATATAAATATTATTTCTTATTCCAAAAATAATTAAATAAAAAGAAGATAACATTGAAACAGAACTAAAAAGGTTTTTTATTTTTATTTTTATTTTTTTTTTTGGAGATGGAGTCTCGCTCTGTTGCCCAGACTGGAGTGCAGTGGTGTGATCTCGGCTCACTGTAACCTCCGCCTCCTGGGTTCAAGTGATTTTCCCGCCTCAGCCTCCCAAGGAGCTGGCATTACAGGCGTGTGCCACCATGACTGGCTAATTTTTATATTTTTAGTAGAGATGGGATTTCGCCATGTTGGCCAGGCTGGTCTCGAACTCCTGACCTCAGGTGATCCACCCACCTCGGCCTCCCAGAGTGCTAGGATTATAGGCATAAGCAACAGCACCCAGCCTAAAGGTTTTAAAGTGAGATACGAAATGGTTTCAATTATTCCCTATGACAGGCTATTTACTAAGTGTTTTAAAAAACTTTTATTTGTATATATTTAGGGGGTACAAGTGCAGATTTCGTACATGCATATATTGCATGGTGGTAAAGTGGGATTTTAGTGTACCCATCACCCAAATACTGAACAAAGTACTCAATAGGTAATTTTTCAACCCTCACCCCCCTGCCACCCTCTCACCTTTTGGAGTCTCCAATGTCTATTATTCTACTCTATTCTATGTGTAACCATTTAAGTTCCCACCTGTAAGTGAGAACATGTAGTATTTGACTTTCTGAGTTATTTCAGTTAGGATAATGGCCTCCAGTCCCATCCATGTTGCTGCAAAAGACATGATTTTTTTTTCTTTTTTGTGGCTGAATAGTATTATTCCACAGTGTGTATGTATACACACAAACACACACACACACCAATTTTCTTCATCACTTAGGTTGATTCCATATCTTTAATCTTGTGAACAGTGCTACAATCAACATACAAATGTAGGTATCTTTTTGACATAATAATTTATTTCCTTTTCGATATATACTCAGTAGCCACTACTCAATTTTGAGGAAGCACAAAGAAACAAATCACTCCAGATAAAAATAAAGCTTATTTCCCTAATCAATAAAAATGAAATCAGACAAATTCTACAATGCAAGCACTAGCTAGACAGAGTTTTGAAAAATGCTAATTAAAATCTGAAATAATACAGTAATCCCACTTTGTCCATGGTTGTTTTGCTTTCCATGAATTCAGTTACCTGTGGTCAACTGCAGTCCAAAAATATTAAACGGAAAATTCCAGAAATAAACAATTGGTAAGTTTTAAACTGCACGATTCTGAGTAGTGTGACAAAATCTTGCACTCTCCTGCTCTGTCCAGCCGTGGACATGAGACATCCCTTTGTCCAGTGTATACATGCTATATACGCTGCCTGCCCATTAGTCATGGACACTGTCTGCTCCTGACAACCAGCAACAGACATCATCAGGACGTGATGATTCAGGACCACCCAAGCAGATGATCCTCCTTCTGATGTAACACCAGAAGGTCAATAGTAGCTTCATGCTGCATTACAATGCCTAACATAATTCACCTACCTTCATCACATCACATAAGCATTTTATCATCTAACATCATCATCATAAGGGTGAGTACAGTACAATAAGATATTTTGAAACCAAATTCACATAAATTTTATTACAGTATATTGTTATAATTGTTCTATTTTATTATAGTTATTGTCAGTCTCTCACTGTGCACAATTTATAAGTTAAACTTTATCATAAATATGAGTGTACAGGAAAAAAACATAAGTGTATATAGGATTCAGTACTATCCACAGTTTCAGGCATCCATTGGGGTCTTGGAACTTATCCCGTGTGAATAAGGGGAGACTATGGTAGTATTAAATTTATTACACAAACGATGAAATCATCATGCCCGGGGCAAAAGATACACAAACGTATAACACCACCTTTGAAAACAGAGTGTTTACTTTATCATTAGAATGTAATAAACTTGTTCTACATAATAGACACCTAAGGGAGGAGGTATAAACATATTTTATTAACGCGCATAGTAACTTCCATATCTTTTTTTTTTTACTTTACGATCTGAAATACATGTGCAGAACATGCAGGTTTGTTACACAGGTATAGATGTGCCATGGTGGTTTGCTGCACCTATCAACCCATCATCTAGGTTTTAAGCCCCACATGCATTATATTTGTCCTAATGCACTCCCTCCCCTTGCCCCCCAACCCCTGACAGGCCCCAATGTGTAACGTTCCCCTCCCTGTGCCCATGTGTTCTCACTGTTCGACTCCCACTTATGAGTGAGAACGTGCAGTGTTTGGTTTTCTGTTACTGTGTTACTCTGCTGACAATGATGGCTTACAGCTTCATCCATGTACCTGCAAAAGACACGAACTCAATCTTTTTTATGGCTGCATAGTATTTCATGGTGTATATGTGCCCCATTTTCCTTATCCAGTCTGTCATTGATGGGCATTTGAGTTGGTTCCAAGTCTTTGCTATTGTAAATAGTGCTGCAATAAACATACAGGTACATGTGTCTTTATAGTAGAATGATTTATAATCCTTTGGGTATATACCCAGTAATGGGATTGCTGGGTCAAATTGTATTTCTGGTTTCTAGATCCTTGAGGAATAGCCACACTGTCTTCCACAATGGTTGAACTAATTTACCCTTCCACCAAAAGTGTAAAAGTGTTCCTATTTCTCCACATCCTCTCCAGCATCTGTTGTTTCCTGCCTTTTTAATAATCGCCATTCTAACTGGCGTGAGATGGTATCTCATTGTGGTTTTAATTTGCATTTCTCTAATGACCAGTGATGATGAGCTTTTTTTCACATTTGTTGGCCACATAAATGTCTTCTTTTGAGAAATGTCTGTTCATATCCTTTACCCACTTTTTGATGGAGTTGTTTTCTTCTTGTAATTTAAGTTCCTTGTAGATTCTGGATATTAGCCCTTTGTCAGATGCATAGATTGCAAAAATTTTCTCACATTCTGTAGGCTGCCTGTTCACTCCAATGATAGTTTTTTTGCTGTGTGGAAGCTCTTTAATTAGATCTCATTTGTCAATTTTGGCTTTTGTTGCCATTGCTTTTGGTGTTTTAGTCATGGAAGTCTTTGCCCATGCCTATGTCCTGAACGGTATTGCCTAGGTTTTCTTCTAGGGTTTTTATGGTTTTAGGTTTTACATTTAAGTCTTTAATCGATCTTGAGTTAATTTTTGTATAAGCTCTAAAGAAGGGGTCCAGTTTCTGTTTTCTGCATATGGCTAGCCAGTTTTCCCAGCACCATTTATAAAACAGGGAATCCTTTCCCCATTGCTTGTCTTTGTCAGATTTGTTGAAGATCAGATGGTTGTAGATGTGTGGTGTTATTTCTGAGGCCTCGGTTCTGTTCCATTGTTCTATATATCTGTTTTGGTACCAGTACCATGCTGTTTTGGTTACTGGAGCCTTGTAGTATAGTTTGAGGTCAGGTAGCAGGATGCCTCCAGCTTTGTTCTTTTTGCTTAGGATTGTTTTGGCTCTACGTAGTTTTTCCTAGTTCTGTGAAGAAAGTCAATGGTAGCTTGATAGGAATAGCATTGACTCTGTAAATTACTTTGGGCAGTATGGCCATTTTCACGATATTGATTCTTCCCATCCATGAGCATGGAATGTTTTTCCATTTGTTTGCGTCCTTATTTCCTCAAGCAGTGGTTTGTAGTTCTCCTTGAAGAGGCCCTTCACACCCCTTGTAAGTTGCATTCCTAGGTATTTTATTCTCTTTGTAGTAATTGTGAAAGGGAGTTCCTTCATAATTTGGCTGTTTGTCTATTATTGGTACATAGGAATGCTTATGATTTTTGCACACTGATTTTGTATCCTGAGACTTTGCTGAAGTTGCTTATCAGCTCAAGGAGTTTTTGGGTTGAGATGATGGGGTTTTCTAAATATACAATCATGTCATCTGCAAACAGAGAAAATTTGATTTCCTGTCTTGCTATTTGAATAACCTTTATTTCTTTCTCTTGCCTAGCCAGAACTTCCAACACTATGTTGAATAGGAGTGGTGAGAGAGGGCATCCTTGTCTTGTGCTGGTTTTCAAAAGGAATGCTTCCAACTTTTGCCCATTCAGTATGATACTGGCTATGGGTTGTCATAAATAGCTCTTATTATTTTGAAATATGTTCCATCAATACGTAATTTATTGAGAGTTTCTAGCATGAAGGGGTGTTGAATTTTATCGAAGGCCTTTTCGGCATCCATTGAGATAATCATGTGGTTCTTGTCACTGGTTCCGTTTATGTGATTGATTACTTTTATTGATTTGCGTATGTTGAACCAGCCTTGCATCACAGAGATGAAGCAGACTTGATAATGGTGGATAAGCTTTTTGATGTGCTGCTGGATTCTGTTTGCCAGTATTTTATTGAGGATTTTCACATCGATGGTCATCAGGGATATTGGCCTGAAATTTCCTTTTTTGGTTGTGTCTCTGACAGGTTTTGGTATCAGGATGATGCTTGCCTCATAAAATGAGTTAGGAAGGAATCCTTCTTTTTCTATTGCTTGGAATAGTTTCAGAGGGAATGGTACCAGCTCCTCTTTGTACCTCTGGTATCATTCGGCTGTGAATCCATCTGCTCCTGGGCTTTTTTTGGTTGGTAGGCTATTAATTACTGCCTCAATTTCAGAACTTGTTATTGGTCTATTCAGGGAGTCAACTTCTTCCTGGTTTAGCCTTGGGAGGGTATATGTTTCCAGGAATTTATCCATTTCTTCTAGATTTTCTAGTTTATTTGCGTAGAGGTGTTTATAATATTATCTGATGGTAGTCTGTATTTCTGTGGGATCAGTGGTGATATCCCCTTTATCATTCTTTATTGTGTCTATTTAATTCTTCTCTCTTTTCTTCTTTATTAGTCTGGCTCATGGTCTATTTTGTTAATCTTTTCAAAAAACCAGCTCCTTGATTCATTGATTTTTGGAGAGGTTTTCATGTCTCTATCTCCTTCAGTTCTGCTCTGAACTTAGTTATTTCTTGTCTTCTGCTGGCTTTTGAATTTGTTTGCTCTTTTTCTCTAGTTCTTTTAATTGTGATATCAGGGTGTTCATTTTAGATCTTTCCTGCTTTCTGATGGGGGCATTTAGTGATATAAATTCCCCTCTAAACACTGCTTTATCTGTGTCCCAGAGATTTCTGGTACGTTGTCTCTTTGTTCTCATTGGTTTCAAAGAACTTCTTTATTTCTGCCTTAATTTCGTTATTTACCAGCAGTCATTCAGGAGCAGGTTGTTCAGTTTCCATGTAGTTGTGGGGTTTTGAGTGAATAAGTGTGATGTGCTGAGAAGAACGTATATTCTGTTGATCTGTGGTAGAGAGTTCTGTAGGTTACTATTAGGTCTGCTTGGTCCAGAGCTGAGTTCACGTCCTGAATATTTTTGTTAATTTTCTGTCTCAGTGATCTGTCTAATATTGACAGTGTGGTGTTAAAGTCTCCCACTATTATTGTGTGGGAATCTAAGTCTCTTTGTAGGTCTCTAAGAACTTGCTTTATGAATCTGGGTGCTCCTGTATTGGAAGCATATACATTTAAAATAGCTCTTCTTGTTGCATCGATCCCTTAACCATTATGTAATGCCCTTCTTTGTCCTTTTTTGAACTTTGTTGGTTTAAAGTCTGTTTTATCAGAGACTAGGATTACAACACCCCTTTTTTTTTTGTTTTTTCCATTTGCTTGGTTAATATTCCTCCAACCCTTTATTTTGAGCCTATGTGTGTCTTTGCACATCAGATGGGTCTTCTGAATACAGCACACCAATGGGTCTTGACTCTTTATCCAATTTGCCAGTCTGTGCCTTTTAATTGGGGCATTTAGCCCTTTTACATTTAAGGTTCATATTATTATGTGTGAATTTGATCCTGTCATTATGATGCTAGCTGGTTATTCTGACCGTTAGTTGATGCAGTTTCTTTATAGTGTCGATGGTCTTTACAATTTGGAATGTTTTTGCAGTGGCTAGTACCAGTTTTTCCTTTCTGTATTTAGTGCTTCCTTCGGGAGCTCTTATAAGGCAGGTCTAGTGGTGACAAAATCTCTTAGCATTTGATTGTCCGTAAAGGATTTTATTCCTCCTTCGCTTACGAAGCTTAGTTTGGCTGGATGTGAAATTCTGGGTTGAAAAGTTTTTTCTTTAAGAATGTTGACTATTGGCCCCCACTCTCTTCTGGCTTGTAGGGTTTCTGCCCAGATATCCTTCCTCTGGGAGCTTCCCTTTGTGGGTAACCCGACCTTTCTCTCTGGCTGCCCTTAACATTTTTTCCTTCATTTCAACCTTGGAGAATCTGACGATTATGTGTCTTGGGGTTGGTCTTCTCAAGGAGTATCTTTGTGGTGTTCTCTGTATTTCCTGATTTGAACGTTGGCCTGTCTTGGTAGGCTGTGGAAGTTCTCCTGGATAATACCCTGAAGTGTGTTTTCCAACTTGGGTCCATTCTCCCCATCACTTTCAGGGACCCCAATCAATCATAGGTTTGGTCTTTTCACATAGTCCCATATTTTTTCAGAGGCTTTGTTTGTTCCTTTTCAACCTTTTTTCTCTAATCTTGTCTTCATGCCTTATTTCAGTAAGTTCATCTTCAATATCTGATATCCTTTTTTCCGCTTCAGCGATTTGACTATTGATACATGTGTATGCTTCACGAAGTTCTTGTGCTGTGTTTTTCAGCTCCATCAGGTCATTTATGTCCTCTAAACTGGTTATTCTAGTTAGCAGTTCTTGTAACCTTTTATCAAGTTCCTTGGCTTCCTTCCATTGGATTAGAACATGCTCCTTTAGCTCAGAGGAGTTTGTTATTACCCACCTTCTGAAGCCTAGTTCTGTCAATTCGTCAAACTCATTCTCCGTCCAGTTTTGCGGCCTTGCTAGAGAGGAGCTGTGTTCATTTGAAGGAGAAGAGGCATTCGGGTTTTTGGAATTTCCAGCATTTTTGCACTGGGTTTTCCTCATCTTCGTGGATTTATCTACCTTTGATCTTTGAGGCTGATGACCTTTTGATGGGGTTTTTGTGTGGGGGTCCTTTTTGTTGATGTTGATATTATTGCTTTCTATTTGTTAGTTTTTCATCTAACAGGCCCCTCTTATGCAGGTCTGCTGCAATTTGCTAAAGGTCCACTCCTGACCCTGTTTGCCTGGGTATCACCAGCGGAGGCTGGAGAACAGCAAATATTGCTGCCTGCTCCTTCCTCTGGGAGCTTCGTCCCAGAAGGGCACCAGCCTGATGCCCACGGGAGCTCTCCTGTGTGACGTGTCTGTCAACCCCTGCTGGGAGGTCTCTCCCAGTCAGGAGGCACTGGGGTCAGGGACCCGCTTGAGGAGGCAGTCTGTCCCCTAGCAGAGCTCAAGTGCTGTGCTAGGAGAATCCTCCTTGTCAGGATCCACTGCTTTCTTCAGACCTAGCAGGCAGGAACATTTAAGTCTGCTGAAGCTGCGCCCACAGCTGCACCTTCCCACAGGTTATCTGTCCCAGGAAGATGTGAGTTTTATCTATAAGCCCCTGACTGGGGCTGCTGCCTTTCTTTCAGAGATGCCCTGCCCAGAGAGGAAGAATCTAGAGACGCAGTCTGGCCATAGCCACTTTGCCACGCTGTGGTGAGTTCTGCCCAGTCTGAACTTCCCAGCCTCCTTAGTGCTGTCAGGGGAAAACTGCCTACTCAAGCCTCAGTAATGGCAGACGCCCCTCCCCTCACCAAGCTCAATCTTCACAGGTCAGCTTCAGACTGCTGTGTTGGCAATGAGAATTTCAAGCCAGTGGTTCTTAGCTTGCTGGGTTCTGTGGGAGTGGGACCCGCTAAGCAAGACCACCTAGCTCCCTGGCTTCAGCCCCCTTTCCAGGGGAGTGAATGGGTCTATCTCACTGGGGTTCCAGGCACCACTGGGGTATGAAGAGGGGGAAAAAAAAAAAACTCCTGCAGCTAGCTCACTGTCTGCCCAGATGCCCAGTTTTGTGCTTGAAACCCAGGGCTGGTGGAGTTGGCACACTAAGGAATCTCCGGGTCTGCGGACTGCAAAAATCATGGGAAAAGTGTAGTATCTGTGCCGGATAGCATAGACTCACGGGTTCCTTTGGCTTGGGGAAGGGAGATCTCTCGCTCCTTGCACTTCCGGGAGAGGCGACGCCCCACCCTGCTTCTGCTACCCTCCATGGGCTGCACCCACTGCCTAACCAGTCCCAATGAGATGAACTGGGTACCTCAGTTGGAAATGAAGAAATCCCCCGCCTTCTACATTTTGGTCTCACTGGGAGCTGCAGACCAGAGCTGTTCCTATTCAGCCATCATTTTTTTTTTTTTAAGATGGAGTCTCAATCTGTCACTCAGGCTGGAGTGCAGTGGCACAAAATCGGCTCACTGCAACCACTGCCTCCTGGGTTCAAGCAATTCTCCTGCCTCAGCCTCCCAAGTAGCTGGGATTACAGGCACACACCACCACGCCTGGCTAATTTTTGTATTTTTAGTAGAGACGAAGTTTCACCATGTTGGCCAGGCTGGTCTCGAACTCCTGGCATCAAGTGATCCATCCGCTTCAACTTCCCAAAGTGCTGGGACTACAGGCATGAACCACTGCACCCGACCTATATCTTTTGATATATACATCATATCATGAAATTTATGCTCTTTTTATGAAATCCATACTCTTATAAATTCAGCATCCAACTGTTAAATGCATCCACTCTGAAAAATAGATGTCTACACTAGACATCTCATGAAATCTTCATCTTGGTATTGTCTCCACTGCACACATGAAGAAACAACTCAGATGCTGGGTAAATTTCCCAAGGTTACACAGCAAGAGAACTGGATGTGAACCCAAATCTGACACCACATCATGCAATTCCAAATTAAATCAAGTTGAGACTAGAGCTTAAACTGTCTGAATTTTATTCCAAAGGATTGGAGATGAATCCATTTCTCCACCATTTCCTTTCTCCGAAACTAAAAAATATCAGATGCAAATGGAACTCTTACTGAAATTAAATGGCAATCTCTAAATGATGAATAATCTCTAAATAGATAATAAATAAAATAATCTCTAAATCAAAAAATATTCTTTGAAAAACTCCTCTAACGCTGGAAAAACAATGGGTAAGCAATAACATAGTTTGGCTGGTTCCATTTGTAACTTAAGAAAAGCCTGAAATTGAATAGAAGGAAAGTATTATCTTTTTTTTTTTTTTTGGAGACAAAGTCTCACTCTGTCGCCCAGGCTGGAGTGCAGTGGCACGATCTCAGCTCACTGCAACCTCCACCCTCTGGGTTCAAGCCATTCTCCTCCCTCAGCCTCCCGAGTAGCTGGGATTACAGGCCCCTGCCACCACGCTCAGCTAATTTTTGTATTTTTAGTAGAGATGGGGTTTCTCCATATTGGCCAGGCTGGTCTTGAACTCCTGACCTCGTGATTCACCTGCCTCGGCCTCCCAATTGACTTATCTTTAAACATGGGAACAGTGACACCTCATTCAATCTCTTCTTTCCTATAATAATATTCCAACTATGAAAATTTTAGGTTAAGAACTCTTCCCTCCTCCTTGCATTCCCCTTCCCTGGTAATAGTAAATCCACTACAGAAAATGAAATATTAAAAGTGTGAAGTACAGGCTGGGCACGGTGGCTCACGCCTGTAATCCCAGCACTTTGGGAGGCCGAGGCGAGTGGATCACTTGAGGTCAGGAGTTCGAGACCAGCCTGGCCAACATGGTGAACCTCTGTCTCTACTAAAAATACTAAAAATTAGGCAGGTGTGGTGGCGGGCGCCTGTAATCCCAGCTACTCTGGAAGCTGAGGCAGGAGAATCGCTTGAACCCGGGACACGGAGTTTGCAGTGGGCCAAGATGACGCCATTGCACTCTAGCCTGGGCAACAAGAGCGAAACTCCATCTCAAGAAAAAAAAAAAAAGTGTGAAGTGCAAAATAGAAGTTACCTACAATCTGACCATCCAGAGATAAGCATGTAAGGAAATGCTCGCCGGGCACGGTGGCTCACACCTGTAATCCCAGCACTTTGGGAGGCCAAGGCGGGTGGATCACTTGAGGTCAGGAGTTCAAGACCAGCCTGGCCAACATGGTGAAACCCCATCTCTACTAAAAATACAAAAAAATTAGCCGGGTGTGGTGGCATGCTCCTGTAATCCCAGCTACTAGGGAGGCTGAGGCAGGAGCATCACTTGAACCCAGGAGGCGGAGGTTGCAGTGAGCCGAGATCACGCCACTGCACTTTAGCCTGGGTGACAGAGCGAGATTCCATCTCAAAAAAAAAAAGCTAACATAGACCTGATTTTAACAAAACGAAATGGTTACTGCTTTATAATCTTTTCTTTCCATTAAGATACTGTGAATATTTTTCTGCATCATTAAATATTCTTCTAAAACATCATTTTTAGTGGCAGCACAGTATTCCATGACGTAAAGCTGCCATTTCTTTTTCAAGCTAATGGAACTTAAAGATGGGACATTCTTTGGTTGCATAACTGCAGCTGCCTACTAATAAGATACATAACATGGCTGTTAAATTTTAAATTTATTTATTCAGATCAGAAGCACTACAATAAAAAATAGGCAATGTGAGTTGACTATTACAAAAGATTCACTGAGAAAAATAAGCTGACATTTTATATTCACTTAAATAATTACCAATGCTTCCTTATGCTTTTGACTTTAAGTATTAAATTACAGTTATCTACACAAAAACATCGACCAGGATGAAGAACTGCAGAACAAGAACATTCTCAAACTGCCAGTGGAAGTATAAATCAGAAGAACCATTAGGGAGAAAGAAACTCTAGCATATGTGCAAAGGAGACATGTTTAAGAATGCTCATGAGAACAGTCTTTAGTAGCACCAAATTCGTAAAAAAAAAAAACAACAACTATCCACCAGTAGCAAACTATTATCTATATAACTTAATACTAAACAGGAGTGAAGGCTGGGAGCAGTGACTCACACCTGTAATCCCAGCACTTTGGGAGGCCAAGGCAGGTGGATCACTTGAGGTCAGGAGTTCGAGACCAGCCTGGCCAACACAGAGAAACCCCGTCTCTACTAAAAATACAAAAATTAGCCAAGTGTGGTGGTGCACAGCTGTAATCGCAGCTGCTTGGGAGGCCAAGGCAAGAGAATTGCTTGGACCTGGGAGGCAGCAGCTGCAGTGAGCAAAGATAGCACCACTGCACTCCAGCCTGGGCGACCCAGCGAGACTCTGTCTCAAAAAATAAAAATAAAAATAAAATAATAATAAATAAACAGGAATGAAAAGTGGGCAATATAGATCAGTGCTGCCCAACAGACATATAATGTAAGGCATTTCAAATATATATTTAAATTTTCTAGTAGCCATATTTTAAAAAAGGAAACCACTGGTAAAATTTTTACATTTTATTTAATCCAATACATCCAAACTATTATCAGTTCCATATGTGGTCAATATATCAGATTTTTTCAGATTTTGGAATATTTGCATTAAACCTTTGAGCATTTCCTTTGAGAGTCATGTCAGTAATCAAAAAATTTTGGGTTTTGGAGCATTTTCTATTTCAGATTCTTAGGGATACTAAACTTTTAGTGAGATATTTTACATGTTTTTAATACTAAATATTTGAAATTCCATGTACAAATATATTTCTAGCACATCTCAATGTGGACTAGCTACATTTCCAGTACTCAATAGCCACAGATAGTTAGTGGCTATTGTATTGGACAGTGCAGATCTGGAGTTACATCAAAATCCTAAAAACAACATTGAGCAAACAAACAAAAAAAAAAAAGGCAAGTTGCAAAATAATATGTACTGTATGGTGCCACTTACATAAACGTATAAAACTGAAAAAATTTCATTCTCAGTAAACTATCGCAAGAACAAAAAACCAAACACCACATATTCTCATTCATAGGTGGGAACTGAACAATGAGATCACATGGACACAGGAAGGGGAACATCACACTCTGGGGACTGTTGTGGGGTGGGGGGAGGGGGGAGGGGGGAGGGATAGCATTGGGAGATATACCTAATGCTAGATGACAAGTTAGTGGGTGCAGCACACCAGCATGGCACATGTATACGTATGTAACCTGCACAATGTGCACATGTACCCTAAAACTTAAAGTATAATAATAAAAATAAATAAATAAACTGAAAAAATTCTAAATAAGGTTTATGTATATGGAAACATGTTTATGTAGAAAACATTAAAATAACCCATGAGGCTTCAACTCTATCTGTAATGTTTTAATTCTTTAAAAGAAATCTAAAGCAAATATGACATAAGATTTTAAAATATTTCCCACTTAAATAATAAAAAAATAGAATATGCTTGCTTCTGTTTATATTCAATTACTTACTTCTGAAAATATGCTACAGAAATATTTAGTGTGTAAATTTCATATTTTACTTTGTACTACATAGATCCGTAGCATCTTTCTGTTGTTCATGTATTAAGTTTGATAACAGAAGTTCAAGGAAAAGTTCAAAAAATTAAGTAAGGATAAAAACTGATGAATTTTGTCTTGTTTATTCAACAAGCATTTACTATATGATTATTGTGTGTATTCAGGGAGTTCATAATGTGGTGAACAGCTTTTTGTTACAAGCAGTCATATGGAGATGAAAGTATATTTTAGCACTACATAGAACACCAAGATCAAAGTAAAAGAGCAAAATACTTAAACAGTGAGTTTTGGCCCTGAGAGTAATTGTTAAATGGAAAATTTTTAAAGGCATTCTTCTTTTTATGTATATATTTAAAGGGTATGGCCAGGCGCAGTGGCTCATATCTGTAATCCTAGCACTTTGGGAGGCAGAGGCGGGCAGATTGCTTGAGCTCAGGAGTTCAATACCAGCCTGGGCAACACGGCAAAACCCATCTCTACAAAAACTATAAAAATTAGCCAGGCATGGTAGCATACACCTGTAGTCCCAGCTACTTGGGGGGCTGAGGTGGGATGATCGCTTGAGCCTGGGAGGTCAAGCAGGCAGTGAACTGTGATCATGCCTCTGCACTCCAGCTGAGGCAACAGCGAGAGACCCTGTCTCAATCAATCAATCAATAAAGTGTACAACATGAATGTTTTGATATACATATACATAGTGAAATGATTACTATGGTCAAGCAAAATGTCCCATCTCCACATATAGTTATCTTTTTCTGTGTGTGCTGAAAACACCTGAAATCTACTCTTTTAACAACTTTCCAGTACATGATACAGTATTATTAACTATAGTGTTCATGCTGTACATTAGATCTCTAGACCTAGTCATCCTACGTGATTCCAACTTGGTAACCTTTAACCAATATCTCCCCATTTCTCCCACCTTCCTACCCATTTAACTACTTTTCTACTCTCTTCTTTTGCAGACTTGGCATTCTTAGATTCCACATATAGGTTGAAGTCATGAAGTATTATTTTTTCCACGTCTGGCTAACTTCACTTGCCATAATGTCCTCCAGGTTCATCTATGTTGTCACCAATGGCAAGCATATTAGTTTAGTGTACCATCTTAAGATACGCAATGACTTGGCCAGGCGCGGTGGCTCATGCCTGTAATCCCAGCATTTTGGGAGGCCGAGGCGGGCAGATCACGAGGTCAGGAGATCAAGACCATCCTGGCTAACATAATGAAACCCCATCTCTACAAAAAATACAAAAAAAATTAGCCAGGCGTGGTGGCAGGCGCCTGTAGTCGCAGCTACTCGGGAGGCTGAGGCAGGAGAATGGCATGAATCCGGGAGGTGGAGCTTTGCAGTGAGCAGAGATCACGCCACTGCACTCCAGCCTGGGCGACAGAGCAAGACTCTGTCTCAAAAAAAAAAAAAAAAAAAAAAAAGATACACATTGACTCACTAGAAGAGATTTTTTTTAAAGACTGCAATAAACACACAAGCAAAACCCTCATTCATTCTACTTAGTTTTAGCTAAATACTGTATATATTACTTGTACATAGCTCTAAATATTTTAATAAAGGTTCGTAGAACATGAAAGAAAAGTTCAAAATGGGAAGCACTGGAACCATAGAGACTATGAGTTGTCATAATGTGGAACTTCAGATATAACAGTCTTTCAAAACAGGAAAAACAATTAGTTGAAAATATGACTTTAAAAACTGAACCTCAACTATACTAATATCTGTAATTTACTTTGAAATGAATAAGAAAATAAAATGAAATGTTACATCAATGGAGAGTTGGACAGATGGATCAATATGTGATAAAACAAGAAGAGTAAAAAAAAAAGAAGAGTAAAATGTTAAAGGTAGAATCTAGATGTTAATAATATTGGTGTTCAGTGTAAAATTTTTAAAGCTTTGCTGTAAGTTTTAAATTTTCATAATGTGTTAAAAATTAAACTTTAATGTGAGGATAATAGCTTTTAACTACAATTATGATGTGTACTGGCACCAGAAGAAAAAAAATCAACTTATCTTTTTGCAAATAGTTCATTTTAGGTAAATACCCCATAGTATAGTTTGTTCAAAAAACACTTCAATACAATATGATTATGTTTGGAAATTTAGTCTAGAATAATCCACTGAAGGGTAAGTGTTAACCAAATTCAACTAACTGCAAGATGATAATTGTTGAAGCTGGGTGACAGGTACTTAGGGGGTTTCGTTATTTTATATATATATATATAGTTGTCTTTTGTTTTTTGTTTTTTTTGGGATGGAGTCTCGCTCTTGTTGCCCAGGCTGGACTGCAATGGCACAATCTTGGCTCACTGAAACCTCCACCTCCCAGGTTCAAGTGAGTCTCCTAACTCAGCCTCCCAAGTAGCTGGGATTACAGGTGCCTGCCACCATGCCCAGCTAATTTTTGTGTTTTTAGTAGAAACAAGAGTTCACCATGTTGGCCAGGCTGGTCTTGAACTCCTGACCTCAGGTGATCCGCCCACCTTGGCCTCCCAAAGTGCTGGATTACAGGCGTGAGCCACCGGGCCCAACCCATTATACTATTTTCTTTTTTCTTTTTTTTAAAAAAAAAAAAAAAAAAAATGAGTCTTGCTCTGTCACCCAGGCTGGAGTGCAGTGGCACGATCTCGGCTCACTGCAACCTCCGCCTCCCTGGTTCAAGAAATTCTCCTGCCTCGGCCTCCCGAGTAGCTAGGATTACAGGCGCCCACCACCACGCCTGGCTAATTTTTGTATTTTTAGTAGAGACGGGGTTTCACCATGTTGGCCAGGCTGGTCTCGAACTCCTGACCTCGTGATCTACCTGCCTCAGCCTCCCAAAGTGCTGGGATTACAGGCGTGAGCCACCACACCCGGCCCCGTTATACTATTTTCTTATTTCTGAATATGCTTGCAATTTTACAGAATAAAAAAGTCAAATAGCCTGGGCGCAGTGGTGCACACCTGTAATCCCAGCACTTTGGGAGGCTGAGGCAAGCGGATCACTTGAGCTTAGGGGTTTAAGACCAGCCTGGGCAACAAGGTGAAACCCCGTCTCAACAAAAAATACAAAAATGAGCCAGGTGTGGTGGCAAAGGCCTGTAGTCCCAGCTACTGTGGAGGCTAAGGTGGGAGAATCACTTGTGCCCAGGAGGTCTAGGCTGCAGTGATCCAAGATCATGCCACTGTACTCTAGCCTGGGAGACAGAGTGAGACCCTGTCTCAAAAAAAAGAGTTAAATATATAGAGAATGTTTTAATACCTAGCTCCGTATACTATAGCCTAGAACAGATTAAATAAGCTATTTCAATTTTTTATATTAAAGGTATAACTAATCCTGGCTCAACTTTAAATCATTATCTTGTAGAAACATACTGATCCTTGTTTTTATGAACAGTTACTTCTAAGTCTGCCAGATACCTCTGCCTTCCTTGATCTACTATTGTATTGTACACTTAGGGTATTAAGAGACATGTCATGAACTTAGGATATTAAGAGAAGTGTCATGAGTTCCCTAAGTCTGAGCCAAGCTTCTGGACTCTGCTCACTCTGATCAAAGAATTTAAGAGAATGTTACCTATTCTACAGTCAACTTCTAACTTACTCCACATTTTTCACAACAAAAACCCACAAGTAATGAAGAAATGGTGATCCAGATTCCAACACATATAGAAGGCATGTGATGCAAAAATCAAATAAGATGTATTTTTCATGTAGAAGGAGTAGAGAAAGAAATTACTCAAATTTTACAGAAGACTGGAATTGTTTTACTCCTTTTTTCCCTCCACCACAGACTTCCTCCTAGTACAGTAAGCAGAAGGACTGTTCTTTCTAGTAGTTAACCTACTCTGACCTCTAACAAGTATACTACTAAGCTAGTTATTGAACTTAAAACAGTCAAAACTACAGACTACACAAATTCAATGTAGAAACTGCATTTCACAATAAAGAACAGATACAAGCTACTTTGAGATTAGGAAAATAAACTTTTCCAATCAAAAACAACTGTGTTGGCAGGGTGCGGTGGCTCATGCCTGTAATCCTCACAGGCCGAGGCAGGTGGATCACATGAGGTCAAGAGTTCAAGACCAGCCTCGCCGACATGGTGAAACCCTGCCTCTACAAAAATTAGTCAGGTGTGGTGGTGGGTGCCTGTAATCCCAGCTACTCGGGAGGCTGAGGCAGGAGAATTGCTTTAACCCAGGAGGTGGAGGTTGCAGTGAGCCGAGATCACACCATTGCACTCCAGCCTGGGCAACAGAGCAAAAACTCTGTCTCAAAAACAAACAAAACAAACAAAAACAAACAAAAAAACTATGTCAATGACAAATTGCATACTCTTAGAAAACCCCCTTAGCCTCTGGGCTATACCATAATGATTTTAAATAGCAAGGAAACAGCTCTGAAGCACGGGAACAATAATACAAGTAATCAAGAAGATTCTAAATAATCTATTGTCACAGCAATAGAAGTGTAGCTAATTTACTTTCTTCAGATTGTGGCATTGACAGAAAAACATAAAAATCACTTTAAGATACAACAGGTATCCTTTACTGTATTTTCTCGAACAAGAGTTTTAACATACCTTAGAGAAAAATATTCCACTTTCTTACAGAAGTGTTATAAAATACACAGAAAACAACCTAATGGACTAGTTAAAAACACGGTACTGTACCAAGAACCTTGAACTGGGAGTCAGATAACCTTGGTTCTAGTCCTAATTACTAATTAGATCTATGCTGTTAAGCAAACTGCAACCTCAGGAGAGCTCAATTTTCTCATTTTTTTTTAATTTTTTTTATTTTTATTTTTATTTTTTTTATTGATCATTCTTGGGTGTTTCTCGCAGAGGGGGATTTGGCAGGGTCATAGGACAATAGTGGAGGGAAGGTCAGCAGATAAACAAGTGAACAAAGGTCTCTGGTTTTCCTAGGCAGAGGACCCTGCGGCCTTCCACAGTGTTTGTGTCCCTGGGTACTTGAGATTAGGGAGTGGTGATGATTCTTAACGAGCATGCTGCCTTCAAGCATCTGTTTAACAAAGCACATCTTGCACCGCCCTTAATCCATTTAACCCTGAGTGGACACAGCACATGTTTCAGAGAGCACAGGGTTGGGGGTAAGGTCACAGATCAACAGGATCCCAAGGCAGAAGAATTTTTCTTAGTACAGAACAAAATGAAGTCTCCCATGTCTACCTCTTTCTACACAGACACGGCAACCATCCGATTTCTCAATCTTTTCCCCACCTTTCCCCCCTTTCTATTCCACAAAACCGCCACTGTCATCATGGCCCGTTCTCAATGAGCCGCTGGGCACACCTCCCAGACGGGGTGGTGGCCGGGCAGAGGGGCTCCTCACTTCCCAGCAGGGGCGGCCGGGCAGAGGCGCCCCTCACCTCCCCGACGGGGCGGCTGGCCGGGCGGGGGGCTGACCCCCCCACCTCCCTCCTGGACGGGGTGGCTGCCGGGCGGAGACGCTCCTCACTTCCCAGACGGGGTGGCAGCGGGGCAGAGGGGCTCCTCACTTCTCAGACGGGGCGGCTGCCAGGCGGAGGGGCTCCTCAATTCTCAGACGAGGCGGTTGCCACGCAGAGGGTCTCCTCACTTCTCAGACGGGGCGGCCAGGCAGAGACGCTCCTCACCTCCCAGACGGGGTCGCAGCCGGGCAGAGGCGCTCCTCACATCCCAGACGGGGCGGCGGGGCAGAGGCGCTCCCCACATCTCAGACGATGAGCGGCCGGGCAGAGACGCTCCTCACTTCCTAGATGGGATGGCGGCCGGGAAAAGGCGCTCCTCACTTCCTAGATGGGATGGCGGCCGGGCAGAGACGCTCCTCACTTTCCAGACTGGGCAGCCAGGCAGAGGGGCTCCTCACATCCCAGACGATGGGCGGCCAGGCAGAGACGCTCCTCACTTCCCAGACGGGGTGGCGGCCGGGCAGAGGCTGCAATCTCGGCACTTTGGGAGGCCAAGGCAGGTGGCTGGGAGGTGAGGTTGTAGCGAGCCGAGATCACGCCACTGCACTCCAGCCTGGGCACCATTGAGCACTGAGTGAACGAGACTCCGTCTGCAATCCCGGCACCTCGGGAGGCCGAGGCTGGCGGATCACTCGCGGTTAGGAGCTGGAGACCAGCCCGGCCAACACAGCGAAACCCCATCTCCACCAAAAAAATACGAAAACCAGTCAGGTGTGGTGGCGCGCGCCTGCAATCGCAGGCACTCGGCAGGCTGAGGCAGGAGAATCAGGCAGGGAGGTTGCAGTGAGCCGAGATGGCAGCAGTACAGTCCAGCTTCGGCTCGGCATCAGAGGGAGACCGTGGAAAGAGAGGGAGAGGGAGACCGTGGGGAGAGGGAGAGAGGGAGAGAGGGAGAGAGGGAGAGGGGGAGAGGGGGAGAGAGGTAGAGGGAGCCTCATTTGTAAAATGAGAGAATTTTACTAGATTAATTAAAATGCTTTCCATCTATAAAATTTGCTTCTGGAAAAGACCATCTATCCAACATAATAGATTTTTTTTTTCTTTTTGAGACAGAGTCTCGCTCTGTCACCCAGGCAGGAGTGCAATGGCACAATCTCAGCTCACTGCAACCTCCGACTCCTGGGTTCAAGCAATTCTCTCACCTCAGCCTCCCAAGTAGCTGGAATTATAGGCACCCGCCATCATGCTCGGCAAAATTTTGTATTTTTGTAGAGACAGGGTTTCACCACGTTGGCCAGGCTGGTCTTGAACTCCTGACCTCAGGTGATCCGCCCGCCTCAGCCTCCCAAAGTGCTGGGATTACAGCCATGAGCCCCAGTGCCCAGCCCCAACATAATAGATTTAAGAGTAGCTGCAAATCCACTCCTGGAAATAACCTTTTCCTCTGCAATATATTGATGCCCACATCCCTCAGCTGTTTTATTCACACTATCTTCGGACCAAAGGAGAAGTCTGGATCACTTAAGGATTCCCAACCCCAAACTGTATTTCTGAAATGTTACTGCCTTCCTCTTCTTATCTAGGTTACCTGATACGATTGTTATATAACTCAACAGGTCACTGAGATAAAATTTTAGAGCTAAAAGCAGTTTAAAATGAGAGACTGAACTAAAAAATATCACTACAGATTAAAAGGAAAACACTGAGGCTCAGGGTCACAGTTATCATAAGACCCAGAACTAAAAGTTACAGAAAGCATAATCCAGTGCTTTTTCAACACTCCATTCTATTAATAACACTATGTTCCATAACTTGAAAATATTTTGATTCAATTTCATGTTACCCAAGGTTTCAAAGTTATTTTATTTCATCAACTAAGTAAAAATCAAGTTATTATCGCTTAATGGAAGATATGTCATAACAAATCTACTTTACCTATCACACCACTGTTAATTTATCATCCTGTTTATAGCAGAAAAGTCAACAGTCCTCATAGACATCTGGTCCCAGGGTAAGGAAAGACTTCTCCTTACCTTATGTTTCCTGCATTTTAGAAAAGCACATAAAACAATAACAAAGATTATATCATTACACAAATGAATACTGCTTTTAACAATTTTTATTGAAAAACTTACGAATAAAAGGAGATGTTTTAACTGTCCAGCTGACTTTTTTAGTACAGAAATTATCCTTTTATTTTCTATTTATTTATTCAACTGATTTTTTAAAATTGGATCACAACTTAAGCCATGCTACTCAAAACTAAGGAAATGTGAACCACACCCATGTTTCCTTTAGAAGAAGACATTAAATCCACATACAGAAAAAATTCTGTTCATAGGCAATTTTCTTACAAAATAGAGACAGAATACATAAGTGATATAAACTAAATGCATCTATGGAAACACTCCTAGCTACTTCTTAGAGGGCAAAACACTATCCATACCATTATAATAATAACATTAAAAACCATGAAAATCTCACTTCTGAAATCAATGTCAACAGTGTCCCTTTGAGAAATCCTGCTTTAAAGTAACAAAGTTTGGTGCCTTCTTTCAAATTTAACTCATCTATGTTGTATCTATGTATCTAATGTCTGTCTGCATGGTTAACAAAAACACATTAAAGGCTCAGAGCTTGTAGCTTACCAACTTTTTCTTTCCCCACAAACCACCATCACAAGCCACAATTTTTACCCCAAAGGAAGAGAGAGAGGATCAACAGACAAAAATGGAAAAAGTAAGCGAGGCACTGTGATGTGCACCTGCAGTCCCAGCTACTCAAGATGCTAAGGCCAGGAGTACGAGGCTGTAGTGTACTATGTTCACACCTGTGAATAGCCACTGCACCCTAGCCTGGACAACATAGTGAGACCCCATCTCAAATAAGTATTTTTTAAATTTTCTAAATGGGAAAAGCAGCAAATTATGTCATACACAAGGATTGTTTTTTCCCACAAACTGTTTTTTGTTTGTTTTTTTTTTTTTTGAGACTGAGTCTCACCCTGTAGCCCAGGCCAGGCTGGAGTGCAGTGGTGCTATCTTGGCTCACTGCAACCTCCACCTCCCGAGTCCTGGTTCAAGCAATTCTCCTGCCTCAGCCTCCCGAGTACCTGGGATTACAAGTGCATGCCACCATGCCCAGCTAATTTTTATATTTTTAGTAGAGACAGGGTTTCACCATGTTGGCCAGGCTGGTCTTGAAATCTGACCTCATGATACACCTGCCTGGGCCTCCCAAAGTGCTGGGATGACAGGCGTGAGCCACCGTGCCCAGCCCAAAAACTGTTCTTAAATGGATTGCAACAAACGGAAACAATCTGGGAGAGGTAGGCTTTAATACAATTTCCACAGACCTGTCCATATGTGGGTTTTTATTCTTTTTACAATATTATTTGATCCTCTCATTTGTTTCATTACATCAATTTATTTTCAAATATGAGAACTGCTATTGTTTTATACCATCCAATTCTCCATGATAATGTAACCGTTAAAAATATTTTTCAGGGCCAGGCGTGGTGGCTCACACCTGTAATCCCAACACTTTGGGAGGCTGAGGTGATCAGTGCCCTTGAGCTCAGGGGTTCCAGACCAGCCTGAGCAACATGGTGAAACTCCACCTCTACCAAAAAATACAAAAAGCAGCCGGGTGTGGTGGAACACGCTACTGAGGAGACTGAGGTGGGAGGATCACTTGAGCCCAGGAGGTTGAGGCTGCAGTGAGCTGAGATTGTGCCAATGCACTCCAGCCTAGGCAACAGAGCAAGACTGTTTCAAAATAAAAATGGGAAATGATAAACTTTTTTTTTTTTTTGACACGGAGTCTCACTCTGTCACCCAGGCTGAAGTGCAGTGGCACAATCTCGGCTCACTGCAACCTCCACCTCCAGGGTTCAAGTGATTCTCCTGCCTCAGCCTCCTGAGCAGCTGGGATTACAGACGCATGCCACCATGCCTGGCTAATTTATGTATTTTTTTAGAGATGGGGTTTCACCACATTGGTCAGACTGGTCTCAAACTCCTGACCTCAAGTAATCTGCTTGCCTCAGCCTCCCAAAGTGCTGGCATTACAGGCGTGAGCCACCATGCCCGGCCAAAAATGATAAACTTTACATAGAAAAATCTACTGGAAACCACCCAAGTGATTAAAATTACCATCATCAGTAATGGGACCAACCAATGTCATGCATCTCCTGTTACAGAGGCACTGAAAACAACATACCATCACTTCTGTTATTTCTTCCAAAAATGCATACCCTTCATCTAATCATAAAGAAGCATCACACAAACCCAAATAGAGATACATTCTAAAAAATAATTGTTCTATACTCTTCAAAAATGTCAAGATCAGGACAGACAAAGAGAGGCCACAGAACTGCTCCAAATTAAAAGGACATTATTAGGGTAATGAAAATTAGAATACAGATTTTTGCCCACTTCACTCCTGCTTTGAATATCAAGAATCTTCATCAGTATTGACAATATGTCAGAATTTTGACAAATGAGGATGAAGAAGTCTACACACAGGGTGATGTGATTTAAGGGCAACATATGACATCTAGTTTTAGTTTTATATAAATCTCCATCCCTTCCTATTTTCCTACTTTACAGGCTAGAGTTATCTTCTTGAGTTTAATATTCACCATTGACCATTTTTACCATTTCACTGTATCACTATTCTTTTAAAAAGCTGATCATATAACTCTACAGACTTTAAAAGTATTTGTTGATTTTCTATAATGAAAGGGGGAAAATGAAACATTTTAGCATAGCATAAAAAGCCTTTCTCGGCCGGGCGTGGTGGTTCATGCCTGTAATCCCAGCACTTTGGGAGGCCGAGGCTGGCGGATCACAAGGTCAGGAGTTCTGAGACTAGTCTGGCCAACATGGTGAAACCCGGTCTCTACTAAAAATACAAAATTAGCCGGAAGTGGTGGCACGCACCTGTAATGCCAGCTACTCAAGAGGCTGAGGCAGAAGAATCACTTAAACCCAGAAGGCGGAGGTTGCAGTGAGCCGAGTGAGGCACTGCACTCCAGCCTGGGTGACAGGGCAAGACTCCGTCTCAAAAAAAAAAAAAAGCCTTTCTCAAACCTGACCCCAACTAGCATCCTTCTTTCCAATTCTACCTCCCATATTCTCTCCAATCATACTTATTATCTCATTTTTCTCAAGGCACCCAAGGGCTCCTCTACCGTATCTCTAGACATAACCCGTTCCACCACCTAGAATATTTCCCCCTCCTCAGCACATTTCCCCCCACCATCCCCAATGACCCAACTCAGAATTGCTGTCTCTCTTGGGAAAATACTTGCTATCAACTCTCTAAGGAAATTTTTTGCTATTCTTCCACATCTCTTGGTTTATATCTCTGTAACTGTACTTAACCACATAGTCTATTTCAACCATTTACTCCTCCACTTAGCTCAGTATTCATTATCTACAAATGCCTATTATCTAGAAAAGTGGTTCTCAAACCCATACCGCCCACAGGGAACATCTGGCAATTTCTGGAAATATTTTTGCTTGTCACAACTCAGGGTAGGGGTGTTACTGGTATCTAGTGGGTAGAGGTCAGGGATAAAATGCATTCACAGGACAGCCTCTAACAAAAAATTTTCTGGACAAAATGTCTATAGTGCCAAGGTTGAGACAATCTGTTCTAAAATAATACTTAGCTCATGTTAAGCCTTAAAAGTGTTTATCAGCCAGGCATGGTGGCTCACGCCTGTAATCCCAGCACTGTGGGAGGCCGAGGCGGGCGGATCACCTGAGGTCAGGAGTTCGAGACCATCCTGACCAACATGGGGAAAACCCGTCTCTACTAAAACTACAAAAAAAATTAGCTGGGCACGGTGGCATACGCCTGTAGTCCCGGCTACTCAGGAGGCTGAGGCAGAATTGCTTGAACCCGGGAGGCAGAGAACCCGGGAGGCAGAGGTGCAGTGAGCCAAGATCATGCCACTGCACTCCAGCCTGGGCAACACAGCAAGAATCCGTCTCAAAAAAAAAAAAAAAAGTGTTTATCAAAATAGAAAAATGAGGCCAGGTACAGTGGCTCACTCTTGTAATCCCAGTACTTTGGGAGGCCGAAGCAGAAGGATTGCTTGAGGCCAGAAGTTTGAGACCAGCCTGGGAAACATAGCGAGATCCCTTCTCTCAAAAAAAAAAAAAAAAAAGCTTTTTTTTGAGACAGAGTCTCGTTCTGTCTCCAGGCTGGCGGGCAGTGGCGCCATCTCGGCTCACTGCAACCTCTGCCCCCTGGGTTCAAGCAATTCTCCTGCCTCAGCCTCCCGAGTAGCTGGGACTTCAGGCATACACCACCATGCCCAGCTAGTTTTTTTTTTTGTATTTTTAGTAGAGACAGGGTTTCACCATTTTGGACAGGATGGTCTCCATCTCTTGACCTCGTGATCCATCCGCCTCGGCCTCCCAAAGTGCTGGGATCACTCCCAAAGGCGTGAGTCACCACACCCAGCCAAAAACAAACTTTTTTAATGGTTAAAATGCTAAATCTTGTGGTATGTGTATTTCACCACCAATTTTTTTTTTTTTTTGAGAGACGGGGTCTTGCTCTGTCTCCCAGGCTAGAGTACAGTGGTATAATCATAGCTCACTGCAGCCTCAGACTCCTGTGCTCAAAGGATCCTCCCTCCTCAGCCTCCCAAGTATTTAGGACTACAGTTGTGCACCACCACACCTGGCTAATTTTTTTTTTTTTTTTGAGACAGAGTCTCACTATGTTGCCCAGGCTGGAGAGATATTTCCCTGTGGCAAATTTCAGCTAAAAAAAAAAAAAAAAAAAAAAAAGAACTGAGATATTCAACAAGCTATGTTGGATGCACTATAGTATAGTCAGCCTTTGAAGGAAATATATTATTTCATATGCTTAACAACAGGTCCAATCACTTTAACATGAAACATTCACCCTTAATTCTCTGCTTTTAGCTATATGTTCAGAATACAAAATGAAAATTCATAATCGGGGTGGTTGGTTTTGAACTTTGGGGGTATCTGAGGAAGGAGGAAATGGAAAAAGCAAGAAAAATGGGAGGTGGGAAAACTCTCCCCAATTCTGTAGAAATTAATCAAGCCAAACTTCAAACCTCTAAATAAAATGGCAGAGAATGAGCTGATTAATAATTTTAGCATGAGAAGCAAAATCGGCCAGGCACGATGGCTCACGCCTGTAATCCCAGCACTTTGAAAGGCCAAGGCGGGCGGATCACGAAGTCAGGATATCGAGACCATCCTGATCAACACAGTGAAACCCCGTCTCTACTAAAAATATAAAAATTAGCTGGGCATGGTGGTGCACGCCTGTAGTCCCAGCTACTCAGGAGGCTGAGGCAGGAGAATCGCCTGGACCCAGGAGGCGGAGGCTGCAGTGAGCCGAGATCGCACGTCTGCACACCAGCCTGGGCGACAGAGCAAGACTCTGTCTCAGAAAAAAAAAAACAAAGCAAAATCATTCTAAAACATAGTAAAAGCAAAGGCATTATACACCTCCTGATAAAATGTGCTGTGAAGGACAAAACATCACTTCATAGTGTTCCTACCAAAATATATAATCAAAGGGAAACATCAGACAAATTCAAATCAACTGGCCTGTGTTCTTTTAAAAATGGAGAAGAGGCCGGGCGCAGTGGCTCACATCTGTAATCCCAGCACTTTGGGAGTCCGAGGCGGGCAGACCACCTGAGGTCAGGAGTTCAAGACCAGCCTGACCAATATGGTGCAACCCCATCTCTACTAAAAATACAAAATTAGCCGTGCGTGGTGGGGCATGTCTGTAGTCCCAGTTACTCGGGTGGCTGAGGTAGGAGAATCACTTGAACCTGGGAGATGGAGGTTGCAGTGAGCCAAGACTATGCCATTGCACTCCAGCCTGGGCAACAAGAGCAAAACTGTCTCAAAAAAAAAAAAATGGCAAGGTGAGCTGTTCCAGATGACAATGAAATATAATGAGTGTTCTAGAATTAGATGGTAGATCAGAAAACAAGAACTTTTTGTCTTTCATCATGAAGGATGTCATGAAGCAATTGGTAAAATGTGAATAAGGTCTGTAGATTAAAAATGGTATTGTATCGGCCGGGTGCAGTGGCTCACGCCTGTAATCCCAGCACTTTGGGAGGCCGAGGCAGGCGGATCATGAGGTCAGGAGATCGAGACCATCCTGGCTAACACGGTGAAAACCCGTCTCGACTAAAAATACAAAAAATTAGCTGGGCGTGATGGCGGGAACCTGTAGACCCAGCTACTCGGGAGGCTGAGGCAGGAGAATGGCGTGAACCCAGCAGGCGGAGCTTGCAGTGAGCCAAGATCGCGCCACCGCACTCCAGCCTGGGCGACAGTGTGAGACTCTGTCTCAAAAAAAAAAAAATGGTATTGTATCAATGCTAATCTCTCTTTTATTTTAAGAGATGGGGGTCTCACTCTGTCATTCACACTAGACTGCAGTGGCATGATCATAGTTCATGGCAGCCTGGAACTTCTAGGCTCAAGTGATCCTCCTGACTCTAGCTTTCTGAGTAGCTGGGACTCCAGGCATGCTCCACACCGGCTAATTTAGTACTTTTGTTTGTTTGTTTGTTTGTTTGTTTGTTTGTTTTGTAGAGACAGGGTCTATGTTGAGAAGACTGGTCTTGAATTCCTGGCCTCAAACAATCCTCCCACCTCAGCCTCCCAAAGTGCTGGGATAACAGGTGTGGGAGGCCGCACTCAGCCTTAATGCTAATTTTTAATTTTGCTAACTATACTGGGATCATGTAACAGACTATTCCTAGTTTCGAGAAATATGTATTAAAGTATTTGGGAGTAAAGGGACATCATGTCTGCAATTTACTCTGAAACAATTCAGAAAAATAATAATAGAGGATGATAAAGTAAACATGGTAAAATGTTACCCCTTGCTGCATCTGGATGAAGCACATCTGAGAATCTTTGTGCTATTTTTACAAATTTTCTACAAGTCTGAAATTATATTTTGTAACCTTTTATACAGTAAAAAAAGGAAGGGATGATTACTCTTTATCTCCCTAAAGATAGATCGGATTCATCTCCTGAGGTTACAGTTACAAAAAAACAATCACATGGCCAGGTTTGGTGGCTCATGCCTATAATCCCAGCACTTTGGGAGGCCAAAGAGGGCAGATAGCTTGAGTCCAGGAGTTCGATACCAGCCTGGGCAACATGGCAAAAACTCATCTCCACAAAAAAATACAAAAATTAACTCAGCATGGTGGCATGCACCTATAGTCCCAGATATTCGGGAGGCTGAGGTGGGAGTATCACCTGCAACCAGGGAGGCGGAGGCTGCAGTGAGCCATGACTGCACCAATGCACTCCAGCCTGAGTGACAGAGTAACAGCCTATCTCAGAAAAAAACAAAAATTAAAAACAATAATTCTTTATTTATTTATTTATTTATTTATTTATTTATTTTTGAAACGGAATCTCATTCTGTCGCCCAGGCCGGAGTGCGGTGGTGATATCTCGGCTCACTCCAACCTCTGCCTCCCGGCTTCAAGCAATTTTGCCTCAGCCTCCTGAGTAGCTGGGATTACAGGCATGCGCCACCACGCCCGGCTAATTTTTGTATTTTTAGTAGAGACGGGGTTTCACCATGTTGGCCAGGCTGGTCTTGAACTCCTGACCTCAGGAGAACCACCTGCCTTGGCCACCCAAAGTGGTGGGATTACAGGCATGAGCCACTGCACCCAGCCAAAAACAATAATTCAATAAAATATTATACCCTATCAAGGAGACACTGCTGAGAAAGCTGTTTTAAGTGAAATGTCTTTGACTTGTGGATGGATCTTAAAATATTATTTTGTGTAACAGCACAACTTTTCTGTGGGGCAAGGGCTCGGTTACTAGCCAAAATGTATATTAATAGATTTTTAAAAATACAATGTAAGCTTCATGGAGACAGGTCCCTTATCTGTCTTGTTCATCAATGCACTACTTATTACAGTTCCTGACACATGGTAATAGTAATCAGTAATAACTAATATTTGAGTAACAATAAAGACATAAGTGCTTTATGCCCATTTAACTCACTTAATATTTACATCACCCCAGAAATGTTTGGTGAATGAATTAGTACTTTTTACAGGATGATAATTAGTCAGTTCCTCAATAATGTAACATATGGGTTCCTAAAAACCACCAAACTATGTAAAATTGTGCAATTAACACCATAGAACTCATAGGAAAAATGAGGTTAGAAGCACAACATTCAAAAATTTCATCAGTGACTTTTTTTAAAACAAAGAAACCAAAGAAAAATGGTAGCACAGTTTGACATGTTAAATAATAAATGCTCAAATATAACAATAAATGTGGCACTTTACTTTGAAAAAGACCTGAAGTTTGCTTGTGAAGTGGGCATCAAAAGGGTTGCAGCTCATGAATTATTGTGAAGTGGTAGAAGGAAGGTTATCTGAAATCGGATTGAAAATTGTACAACAGATGTAAATATGTGTGGTTTATAACCCAAGTGGTGAAATGAGGTAGCTGGTAGATGTCAGACGTGTGTGCATCTATATGCATGTATTTCTATGCAGCTCTTTTTAGAGGGGTGTAGTATCCTGCATTCATCTAGCACAATAATCAGCAAACTCTTTCAATACAGGGCCAGACAGTAAACATTTTAGGCTTTGTGGGCTACTAGGTCTCTGCTGCAGCTATTCAACTCTGCAACTACAGTGCAAAAGCAGCCACAGACAATGTAAATAAATGGACATAGGTGTATTCCAATAGAACTTTATTTACATGGCTCACATCTATAATCCCTGCACTTTGGGAGGCCAAGGCAGGCGGATCACCTGAGGTCAGGAGTTCAAGACCAGCCAGGCCAATGTGGTAAAACCCTGTCTCTACTAAAAAAAAAAAAAAAAAAAAAAAAAAAAAAAATACAAAAATCAGCCAGGCGTGGTGGCAAATGCCTGAAATCCCACCTACTCGTGAGGCTGAGGCATGAGAATCGCTTGAACCCAAGAGGCGGAGGTTGCAGTGAGCGGACATCACACCACCGCACTCCAGCCTGGGCGACAGAGCAAGACTCCGTCTCAACAAAACAAAACAAAACAAAACAAAGATCAAAAACAAAAAAAAAGAACTTTATTTACAAAAAACAGGCCACTGGTTGGTAGGCCACAGTATGCTGATCCCTGACCCTGCAGACAAAATCCCCCATAAGCAAATGCAAATTTTGTCGTATGCTTCAAATTGTTCCCTGAAATATCAACCCTTTTGGAAAAAATCCACATTTTCAAAACAAGCATTATAGCAAAACTAAATCTGGAATGCTATCAAATAAACCAAAAAATAACTAATATAATCCAAATAAGCAAAATAACAAATCCAGTATTACTCAGAAATAATTTTTTATCTTAGATTCTATAAGTCAAATGTTACCCACCCAAAAGTCAACTGAGCACTTCAAATGAGCAAAATGAAGACAACTAAGGATGCATTTTTATCACAGTGATTCAAAATCTGTGCATTAAATCCTACACAATCTTATTTAAAAGTAGGTAATACTGGCCAGGCGCGGTGGCTCATGCCTGTAATCCCAGCACTTTGGGAGGCCGAGGTGGGCAGATCACGAGGTCTAGGAGTTCGAGACCAGCCTGGCCAATATGGTGACACCCCGTCTCTACTAAAAATACAAAAACTAGCCAGGCATGGTGGCTCACACCTGTAGTCCCAGCTACTCGGAGGCTGAGGCAGAAGAATCGCTTGAACCCAGGAGGTGGAGGTTGCAGTAAGCTGAGATGGTGCCACTGAGCCCGGGTGACAGAGTGAGACTCTGTCTCAAAAAAAAAAAAAAAAGTAGATAATACTTTTGACAATTCTGAACTAAAATTATCAGGCCCATTCACAAAGGCACATGTACCTTTTACAAGATCATCAAGCCACAAAAGCTACCATACAAAATGCACAATAGTAGCTGGGCATAGTGGCACATGCCTGTGGTCCCAGCTACTCAGGAGGCTCAGGTGGGAGGATCACTTGAGCCCGGGAGTTCTAGGATGCAGTAAGCTATGAGCTATGATCACCCCACTGCACTCCAGGCTGGGTGACAGAGGAAGTCCCTGTCTCTTAAAAAAAAAAAAAAAAGCACAATAGGCAGGGCGCGGTGGCTCACGCCTGTAATCCCAGCACTTTGGGAGGCCAAGGCGGGCGGATCATGAGGTCAGGAGATCAAGACCATCCTGGCCAACACGGTGAAATCCCATCTCTACTAAAAATACAAAAATTAGCTAGGCATGGTGGCACACGCCTGTAGTCCAAGCTACTCGGGAAGCTGAGGCAGGAGAATCGCTTGAACCCGGGAAGCGGAGGTTGCAGTGAGCCAAGATCATGCCACTGCACTCCAGCCTGGGTGACAGAGCGAGACTACGTCTCAAAAAAAAAAAAAAAGGCACAATAGTTATACAGTATTTGTCCAGAAATTAAGTTTAAAATTCGATGTTGACCTTCTTCCAAATAGAAAATGCTAATATACACAACATTCCTTTGCTCAAGCTGCTACTCCTCACATCTGGAATTCTCCCACAGTCTCCTTTGTCAAAACTGTACCTATATTCCAAGGACTAGATTCAAATGCTATCTCTCTTTTTTCTTTTTTTTGAAACGGAGTCTCGCTCTGTTGCCCAGACTAGAGTGCAGTGGCGCGATCTCGGCCCACTGCAAGCTCCGCCTCCCAGGTTCACGAAGTTCTCCTGCCTCAACTTCCCGAGCAGCTGGCACTACAGGCGCCCGCCACCATGCCCGGATTTTTTTTTTTTTTTTTTTTTTTTTGTATTTTTAGTAGAGACGGGTTTTCACCATGTTAGCCAGGATGGTCTCGATCTCCTGACCTCGTGATCCACCCGCCTCAGCCTCCCAAAGTGCTAGGATTACAGGTGTGAGCCACGGCGCCCGGCTCAAATGCTATCTCTCTATAAAGCTTTCCTTGGTCCCCACCAGAAATGTCTTTCTACTTTGAACTCACACAACAACTTACTTTTACTTCATGCAGCATTTATCACTTTATATCTTGCACCAAAACTAATCGTGTACATGTCTTATTTCCTCTGATATATGGAAAATAAGACTAATCTTTAACCATACTAATAGCTGTCTGGACTGCCCTCTCACAGTCAACCCTTAACTGCTAACTCATTCAAGACTCAATACAGTTAACATCTCCTTTGCAAAACTTTCCTAGACATCCCCCAAATTAGGCTTTCTTTCATTTCTGATCCCTAGCGCAATCAATATATTTCCATATTTTAGCACTGCTTTCTAATTGCTCATTTACTTACCAATCTCCCTCACTTGACTAAGAATGCCTTAAGATGGCAGGAATTTTATTACCTTTGGCATAACCCTAACACAGTGCCATGCCTGGCCCCAAATTGATACTTAAGTATTTGATCAACTAATAAAGCATTCCCCCAAAATATGGAGTGCAGGATATATACATGTGAATACTACTGCCAGAACAATAATTTCTTAACAAATATTGTATGGGACAGTTAACAAGAGTGCTGGACTACAGATACAGGAAATGGCTACTTCAAGCTAAAACTGAGAGACAAAGTTTCAGAGACAGGATCTGAAAATAGCAGCTACAGTGCAAAATTCAAAGACTTCCCAGCGCAAAAAGAACAACCGGCTAGAACTAACATAGGTATTTTCAGACGTACATCTTCAATCATAAAAGGGCAGAAATATACTGGATATAGCAATCTTTCAAAATAGAACATATCCTAAGCCACAATAATTACCAAACTTTCCAACAAAAATGTTTTTTCCTTTCCAATAAATGTTTATACAACCAGGTATACATGATACTATGACAAGTATCAGCAACAAAACACCTGTAACCTAACCATGTAAGTTTTAAGGCAAAAAGATATAAATACACTGAATAAAGAAACTTTATCTCACCACTACCCTTCTCCCTAACCCACAAAAGGCAGATAAGAGAAAATGATAAACACTCATATAAGCAGAATTTTTTGCTTATTTGTTTTTGTTTTTGTTTTTGAGACAGACTCTCACCCTGTCGCCCAGGCTGCAGTGGCGCAATCTCAGCTCACTGCAACCTCCGCCTCCTGGGTTCAAGCAATTCTCTGTCTCAGCCTCCCTAGTAGCTGAGATTACAGGTGCCCACCACCACACCGAGATGATTTTTTTTTGTATTTTTAGTAGAGATGGGGTTTCACCATCTTGGCCAGGCTGGTCTTGAACTCCTGACCTCATGATCCACCTGCCTCGGCCTCCCAAAGTGCTGGGATTACAGGCGTGAGCCACTGCACGTGGCCTGTAAGCAGAATTTTTTAAAAACTAACTTTAGGCAGGGTATGGTGGTTTACACCTGTAATCCCAGCACTTTGGGAGGCCAAGGCAGGAGGATCGCTTAAGTCCAGGAGTTCAAGACCAGACTGGGCAACAAAGTGAGACCACTGTTTCTACAAAAAAATCAAAAAATTAGCGGGGCATGATGACACACCTGTGGTCCCAGCTACATGGGAGGCTGAAGCAGGAGGATTGCTTGAGCCAGGAGGTCAAGGCTACAGTGAGCCATGTTCAGTGTCACTGCACTACAGCTTGGGTGACAGTGAGACCTTGTCCCAAAAAAAAATTAATGCTACAGACCATCTAGTCTTGTTCGTTCTGCAAATGACAAAGCAGAAGCCTGGAACAGATAAATGATTTGTCCACAGTCATACAATCAAGCAACAGAGCTATAACTGAAAAACCAAGGCTTGGCTCACAGTTCAGTGTTCATTCCTCTATACAAGCAGTTCTCAAACCATTTAGTCGCAGCACCTCTTTTCACTCTTAAAAATTAACAGCCGGGCGCGGTGGCTCACACCTGTAATCCTAGCACTTTGGAGGCCGAAGCGGGTGGAAATCACGAGGTCAGGAGATCGAGACCATCCTGGCCAACACGGTGAAACCCTGTCTGTACTAAAAATACAAACAATTAGCCGCACATGGTGGCAGGTGCCTGTAGTCCCGGCTACTCGGGAGGCTGAGGCAGGAGAATGGCGTGAACCCGGAGGGCGGAGTTTGCAGTGACCTGAGATCGTGCCACTGTACTCCAGCCTGGGCAACATAGTGAGACTCTGTCTCAAAAAAAAAAAAAAAAAAAAAAAACTAGGACCCCAGAGCTTTAGTTTCTCTTTTAAGAACCATTGTTACAAACATGTTACCTCCTTCAGAATACCTTTAGACTTTATCAATATCTATTATTGATAAATATTGATATTTACTCCCATTTGAGCTTATTCCCATTTTACAGATGGAAAAATAGAAGTTAAACATCTTGCATGTCAGCTTCCAAGCTGATCATAAGACAAGCATTAGGATAAAATTAGAGACAGACTGCTTAGACCCTCCTTTCACTGCCCTGTTATATTCAACATTTCTAAAGGAAGATCTATGCATCAGTTTTCACTGGCTTCAACTATTTAAATAGTTTCTGATATCCAAAAGAACATTCACGGTCTGGGGGAAAGCACTTCATGTAAATTCAAGAATTGCCCGTATCCTATTACCCAACCCATAAGTTTATTCAGACCCCAAAAGTGAAAAAGACACATACAATTACTTATGAAACAATTATTTCACACACCTACATCAATACTTAAATATTATTTTAAGTACTACATTTATCTTATCTCTAGAAATACAATACATAACTGAAAGCTCAAGGCCAACTATGCCAAGGGTGGCCAATAATAAAACTGGGCCTGATAAAAATTAAGGTCACAAATGTCTTTCTTTTCACCCCAACCCATTACATAACCAAGCCATTGATATTTAAATGCTTTTTAAAAACCTTTATAAAATTTGCATCTCCTCCCCCTCCAAGGGCCTGGTTTCATGCTTTTCATAGTGGAAATGCAAGTATTTCACAGATAACATTTTTCAACAATTAGGTTACAATGTAACTGCTTGTAAACTACCACCTTAACAGATACTTTCTAAGACATTCAAAATCTCTCAATTTAGACAACTTCTGCCTTTTTATATTTAAGATCAATAACAAGGTAATATAGCTGTCAGCTTTTCAAGTAATCAATTGCCATAAGGATTAGAATGACAAATTTCACCAAATCTCCCAATACTGAAATCTTTATATGCAAATAAATTAAGGCCAAGCGCAGTGGCTCACACCTGTAATCCCAGCACTTTGGGAGGCAGAGGCGGGCAGATCACCTGAGGTCAGGAGTTTGAGACCAGCCTGGCTGGCCAACATGGTGAAACCCCGTCTCTACTAAAAATACAAAAATTGGCCAGGTGTGGTGGCACTTGCCTGTAATCCCAGCTACTTGGGAGGCTGAGGCAGGAGAATCGCTTGAACCCAGGAGGCAAAGGTTGTAGTGAGCCAAGATGGTGCCATTGCACTCCAGCCTGGGCAACAGAGTGAGACTCCATCTCAAAAAAAATAAAAATAAAGAAAACAAATTAAAGTTCATCAGTCATGAAGCCTCCATTCCAGGCCCTAGCTCCAGGATGACAATTCTAGACACATCCTGGGCCAGAAGGGAATCTGCTGCCCTGAAGGGAAGGTCCCAGTCCTAGCAGCATACATCACCTGATAACTGAAGAGCCCTTGGGCCCTGAATAACCAGCAGAGAGCCAGGCGCGGTGGATCACACCTGTAATCCCAGCACTTTGGGAGGCCAAGGCAGGTAGATCACTTGAGTCCAGGAGTTCAGGACCAGCCTAGCCAATATGGTGAAACTCCCTCTCTACTAAAAATACAAAAATTAGCCAGGCGTGGTGGCACACACCTGTTAATCCCAGTTACTTGGGAGGCTGAGGCATGAGAATCACTTGAACCTGGGAGGCGGAGGCGGCAGTAAGCCAAGATCACGCCCCTTCACTCCAGCCTGGGCAACAAAGTGAGACTCTGTCTCAAAAAAATAAATTTAAAAATTAAAAAATAATCAGCAGTGACACCCAGGTACCCAAGTACTACATTGAGAGCTTGGTGATTATAAAAGACCTTATCTTTTATAATGCCAGAAGCAAGTCAATCTTATTTCAAACAACACAAACAACCAAAAAAATCCTTTAAAAACAACAAAACCTTTAAAGACTGAGCCACTGATTAGTCAGTGTATGTTTTAGCCAGGTCATCGGTTTATTTTCCTTCCTCTTGTCTTCTGGCCATTTTTCCACCACAGAATCCTAGAATATTACTTTTTTTTATAAACACAAGTAAAAATTAGAACTAGTCTTTGTTCCTGCTTTTTAAGTGCTTGACAAAATATTTGATAAAGAGAAAATCTGGAACTACTGTGTAAAATAATATTAACAATAATGCTTATATTATTTCTGCCTCACATTAGAAAAGACTCAAGAGGGATTTGGTACTGTGGGTTCAACTCAAGCATTACCTGTCAGATTCTCCTTTAACCATGATTATGGTTTAGGAGATCGATGACACTTCAGCCTGAGACAGTTCTGAACACCTACTTGGAGCTCTTTCATAGTAAATCATCAGGGAGTGTCACACTTTTTAATTAATTCCCTACATGCATATATGCAGTTCTTTACTAGAGGTTTTTCATGTAGCTTAAGACTCTCCTAGCATTAAATATTTCAGTTATCTCACTACATAGTACACCTGGACACAAAAAATGTAACATTATAAACAGCTACAAAATCATAGACCTGCAACAAATCAGAGTAGGTAATATGAACTTCTTTCATTGTAACACTTGGGCTAAATTTAAATGGTCATAATCAGGTTAGACCTGGCAGCTGAAGGGGGCATTAATGCCTTGTGGTTAAGAACATAAGCTGTGAAGTCAAGATGGGGTTCAATTCCAGCTCCACCAATTACAAGCTGTATAACTTCGGTCAAGTTCTTGATCTATGTCTCACTTTCCTCCTCATCGGTAAAATGGGCAAAACCAAGTACTTACCTCACAGGTTTGAGAATTCATCAAGATTATAAAGAACGACAATAAGCACTCAACTTAGTTATGATTATTACTCTTATCATCAAGATCTACAAAAATCCAAGACTAGTAAGAAAAACTGACCCTTGTGTAAAATTAATTATTCTATTCAGAAATTCTATATACGTAATTTGTTCATTCTAAAGAAACTGAGAAGATCCGACTTCAAACTATAGTTTCAAATGTAGACTTTGTGAAACTTAGTAAAATCTAGAGGTCATAATTTAACTGTAAGGTACACCATCCATGCATATGAACATGAGTGCCTGGTAATTACAGGCCAACAAGTTATACTGGGTACCACTTACGTGCCTAATACCCCACAGATAAAGATTTGTTGTATTTGAGCCTACTGACAAATTCAGAAACCAAGGCCACAATCGTGTACACAACTAGAGATCTACAATCTAAGAACTGAAGCATATCTTTCCCCAAGGTAAAGAAAATATAATCTACTGCTTGTTCATGCAGAAATACAGACATACGTATCATAGGCTCATTGCCCAATTCTACATTCTAGCTAAATTGCTCTAAAAACATATGCCAATCTAAGAGTTACTCAAAGGCACATTTCGCCAACTTGAAATGCAATTCTGACCCATGCTCCTTGTAATTTTATTTTGCCACTGGACGCCAAGGATGCATCTCCGAGTAAAAAAATTACTTAATTCACATTGTGGGATGAAAATTCAAATGTCAAACTGAAACGCCAGCCAGCCACCTGGGTAAAAGTGTATACATTTCATATTGACTACCCAAATTTTCAGACCCGTCAAGAGGCAAATCAGAAGCACACAGAAAAACAGCTTCAACCTAATAAACGTGCTTGATTGGTTAAGAGGAGGCCTGCCAGGCATTTTCCCTTGCAATAAATCTTACTTCGCATCAGCCCACGTTAACCTGCCCTTCATCCTTCATGGAATAAATAAGTAAATAAAGATAGGGCCTAATTACTCCTCGAAATTTGCCCAGAAAGTGGGGAAACACTTGAGGTCCCATTAAGGCTGGACATCACAAAAAGTAGTATACTAGGGTCCTCTGGAAGCAAAACCCTGTGTTAAGTCCCCCCTCGCCTAGAAATAAACCCAAGGATATCCTTCAGGATATGGAGTAGAAAAGATACCTAAATACCTGGAACTGCACCACAACCCAATCAAAAAAAGGCTTGTCTCCTGGGGCTGCAGAAAAAAAATCCCGCAGGGCCCGGGTGCTTCCCATCTCCAGCAACCTAAACGCCTCTAAGTCGTCCTGGGATCTCACATCCTCGCGCCCGCCCACCCCTCCCCCTCTTCTCACCCTCCCCCCGCTTCTTCCCCACGCAGTTTCTAGGCCCAAAGATTAGCAAAAATGACCGGGATACCAAAGACCGCCTCCGACTTCGAGGTCTCAATCCCACAGGCACCAAAGAATAAACAGAGGAGCCCGACCAAGCGTCACCGTTTAGGGGAGATTGCAAGAAGCGCCCCATACCCTAGGCCGCGCCCCCCCCACCTCCCCCCACCCCATCCCCACCCCCACCCCCGTCGGAGCCTTGCGCCGATACCCCGAAACCCTTCTCACCTAAAGAGAAAACGATGCCTCTTTCGGCTAAGCAACACACAGGCCTAACCCACCAAGCGAACGCCTTCCCAAACACCCGACTCAGACGGTGCCTGGGCCCAGACCGCTGGGGCCCATGAGACGGGGTTGCGTTTTACCTCATGGGCTCAGCGGTCATGTTTTCGCTTGAACGCCTTGTCGGCTTCTGTGATTGCTGGGCGCCGATCTGCGCTCCCCCGCGCCCGGTTACGATAGAAATGCACTGGAGTCTTAGTCGTCACTGTAGCTGCTGCTGGAACCTCCCCACAGCTCAAAGGCCGCTACCACTGCCACCGCCGCAGGAGCCGCGGAAACAAAGCGACACCGCTGCCGCCGCCATTTTGTTGGGCCGAGGCTCAGGCAGGAGAATTGGCGCGTCCTCCCTCTTTCTCTTTCCGTCAGCCATTGGCTACCTCCTCCAAAGCACAGAGTCTTATTGGCTACGGAAATTCACCTTCTTTGGGGGCCTGTTGCTAAGGCGGTCGACGTCATTTGATCCCCTCCACCTTTTCGCAGGGGGTCCAATTTAGTCCCAATTGACCTGAAAGTGCTAGTGACATAGTTTGACTTTATTTTGAAAATGCTCTTTTGGTCCAACCTCTTTTTTCTTTGACATATTAACGAAGTAATAACAGCAACCTACATTTATTGAGAGTTTACTATATGCTCGGCACTACACTAATCCTTTATCCGGGTTATCTCATTTAATCTTTACACTCTCTGAGGTAGACAAACCTACATTTTCCAGATGAGGAAACCAAGACACAAAGTCCCACAGTAGTGGAGCCGAGATTCACCAGACACTCTTAACCACTAATCTGTATGGCCATCCTATGTAAGTATTTTCTTTCCTATATGCTAGGCTATCATCAAGTTATTTGCTTTCCTAGATGTTTTATACATAATATTTGGCACACCAACATGCTTGGAAATGTATATGTGTATAATATACTTATATATATGTATATGTGTGCAGACGACATAAGACCAACTTGAACGCTGCATAAAATTCTTTCCATATTGAATAAAGTGTCTCTTAGAATACACACACACACACACACACACACACACACACACACACACACACGGGCCATTTCCCCAATTTGATGTGATGTTTAGCTCACAAACCAATCAATTTAGATCTGCTTCCTTCTCATTACAGAGGAAGCTTGGCTGGATGATCTGTAAATGCCTTTCCCGCTTTTATGATCTATAATTTGATTTTACATTGGTAATCTCTGCTAATCACAAACAAGTCCTCTAAAATCTAATCGCTTCGAAATTTATTTCCAAATTTATTCTGCCATGCATGCTTTAGTTCATTCTATTTATTTTTCTTGAAATATGCAAGAGCTCCTGTCGGGGTTAGGTGACAGGGTTGCTGCTTTCTACTGGGATAGCAAGAGGGGAGCCTTTTTTGAATGAAACACTTTGAAAATCTGATAGGCTCAGGCAACTTTTTTTTTTTTTTTTTCTGAGACAGGGTCTAGCTCTGTCACCCAGGCTGGAGTGCAGTGGCGTGACGCAGTTCACTGCAGCCTCGACCTCCTAGGCTCAAGCAATCCTCCCACCTCAGCCTCTCAAGCAGCTGGGACTGCAGGCGCGTGCCATCAAGCCCAGCTAATTATGTATTTATGTATTGGTATAGATGAGGTAGGTCTGTCTGTTGCCCAGGCTGGTCTCAAACATCTAAGCTCAAGCCATCCTCCAACCTCGACCTCCCAAAGTGCTGGAGTTACAGGGGTGAGCCACCGCGCCTGGCCTCAGGCAACTTTTTAATCAACAGACGCCTGTACACATTGCAATTATATCTTTCAAATGTTTGAGTTCAGTTGGCAATTATAGAAACCAGACCTCTGTACCTGCTATACTGATTTTGTCTTGTACACATTAAATATCATTTCAACATACAATTTACAGGAGTCATTTTTTTCTCCTTGGTAAATGCAGTGAATTTGAATGATGTACTCCATCACAAGGCAGCACAGAAATGTGCTTGCTGTTCAACTGACTTCACTATGAGAAAAATAGTAAATAGTCAACATGTTACCAGGTTATTGGCGTTTCGAACAAGGAATTGGACAAAATGCACAAAGCAAGGAAAGAATGAAGCAACAAAAGCAGAGACACGTTGAAAATGAAAGTACACTCCACAAGACTGCAGGAGCTGCCAGAGCACAGGGGCTCAAGACCCCCATTACAGAATTTTCTGGGATTTAAATACTCTCTAGAGGTTTTCCATTGGTTACTTGGTGTACACCCTATGTAAATAAAGTAGTGGCCCGCAATCAGAGGCTAAAGTGAAGTTACAAGGGTCACACCCTATGCAAGCATCTAATTGGTTGTGGACAGCAACCAATCAGAGGCTAAAGTGAAGTTACAAAGTTACACTGCTATACAAACATCTGCTTTCTGCAACCAATCAGAGATACTTTCAGTTTTCCATCTGCCAAGCGGAAAAGGAAGAGGATTTGCAAAGGGAGTAGTCTTTTTGTTACTTAGGTGTGGAAAGTTGGGGTTTTCCTTTTGATTCAGTTCTAGGAAGTCAACTTTACTCAGCCTTAGGTTCCCTGCCTCCAAACCCTATTCTCCTGCCTCACATTATTTTTAAATGAATTGAAATTATTAAGGTAGAAACTAGCTGTTGCTGAGAGACTTCTCAACACTAAACAGCTTTAAATGACAAGTCTCACAAAAGAAACTTAATAATAAAACTATAATCACAATTTGTTTTTGTTTTGTTTTGTTTTGTTTTGTTTTTGAGATGGAGTCTCGCTCTTGTAGCCCAGGCTGCAGGCTGGAGCGCAGTGGCATGATCTCGGCTCACTGCAACCACTACCTCCCAGGTTCAAGCGATTTTCCTGCCTCAGCCTCCCTAGTAGCTGGGATTACAGGCACCCACCACCACGACTAACTAATTTTCATATTTTTAGTAGAGACGGGGTTTCACCATGTTAGCCAAGCTGGTCTTGAACTCCTGACCTCAGGTAATCCACCCGCCTCGGCCTGCAAAAGTGCTGGGATTACAGCCATGAGCCACCATGCCAAGCAATCATAGATTTTTTAAATTTTAATTTTGTTTTGAGACAGGGCCTCACTTGGCCTCCCAGGCTGGAGCATAATGGCGTGATCATGGGTCACTGCAGCCTCGACCTCCCAAGCTCAAGTGATCCTCCCACCTCAGCCTCCCAAGTAGCTACAACTGCAGGCCTAAGCCACCACAGCCCGGCTAATTTTATCTTTTTGTTTTATTTTTTTAGAGAGTAGGTCTCGATGTTGCCCAGGCTCATGTCTCAAAGTCCAGAGCTCAAACTATCCTCCCACCATAACCTCCCAAAGTGCTTGAATTACAGGCGTGAGCCACCATGCCCAGCAATAATCACAGCATTTTCAAAATGAACAACATTTGTGAATATTGTTGTGAATAACAACTTGTGAATACATTGTGAATAACAACTCACTATATTTGTGAAGCATAAGAGAATACCTGAGCCGAACATGGTGGCTCATGCCTGTAATCTCTTAACTTTGGAAGGCCAAGAAGGGAAGATGGGTTAAATTCAGTAGTTCAAGACCAAACTGGGAAAAATAGTGAGGCTCCCTCTCTAAAAAAAATTTTTTTTTTACTTAAAAAAAAAAGAAAAAGAGGCCAGGCGCGGTGGCTCATGCCTGTAATCCCAGCACTTTGGGTGGCCGAGGCAGGTGGATCACCTGAGGTCAGGAGTTCAAGACCAGCCTGGCCAACATGGTGAAACCCCATCTCTACTAAAAATATAAAAAATTAGCCGGGTGTGGTGGTGGGTGCCTGTAATCCCAGCTACTGGGGAGGCTGAGGCAGGAGAATTGGTTGAACCCAGGAGGCGGAGGTTGCAGTGAACCGAGATTGCACCACTGCACTCCAGCCTGGGCAACAAGAGCAAGACTCCATCTCTCCATCTCAAAAAAAAAAGAAAGAAAGAAAAAGAATTCCTTTGTTAGTAAAGGATGGCCGACAAAGTTTTACTGATATACATATAGGTGTATCGCTTTCAGTGATGATTATCAACGGGTTCCCATCAACTATTTTAGAAGAAGTTTACTGGTACACATCTTCACATTTTTCTTCAAATTGCCACAGAAGGCAACCTAGACCTTTCTCTGACTCTTGACCATAAATGCGTAACTTGTGAATGTGCTTATTTGTTTTGGAAGGGAATAAGAGATACAGTACCTGAAAGAGAGCAAATCAGCTGAGAAAATAGTTACTCCATAATTTTTAATATACAGCTTTGGCTGGGCTCAGTGGCTCAAGCCTGTAATCCCAGCACTTTGGGAGGCCAAAGTGAGTGGATCACTTGAGCTCAGGAGTTCAAGATCAGCCTGGCCAACATGGTGAAAGCCTGTCTCTACCAAAAATACACACACAAAAAAATTAGCTGGGCGTAGTGGTGTGTGCCTGTAATCCCAGCTACTTGGGAGGCTGAGGAGGGAGCATCGCTTGAGCCCAGGAGACAGAGGTTGCAGTGACTTGAGATTATGCCACTGCACTCCAGCCTGGGCAACAGAGTGAGACTCCATCTGAAAATAAATAAATAAATAAGCAAACAAACAGCTTCAAAACCCCTATTTTATGTCAGAATCATAATTCTTGAGCAATATTTATGAAATTTTAAAATACATATATTATTTAACCCAGCAATTTAACTTCTAGGAATTTATCCAACAGATATACTTTACAGGGACAAAATGAGATGTACACAAGATTATTCACTGCGGCATCATTTGTAACATCAAAACACTGGATAGCTGGGCACAGTGGTGTGGGCCTGTAGTTCCAACTACTCAGGAGGCTGAGGTAGGAGGATTGCTTAAGCCCAGAAGTTCAAGGCCATCCTGAGCAACATAGTGAGACCCTATCTCTGAAAAAACAAACAAACAAACAAAAAAAGCCAGCCAGCCATGGCGGCTCACCCCTGTATTCCCAGCACTTTGGGAGGCTGAGGTGGGAGGATTGCTTGACCCCAGTAGGTCAAGACCATCCTGGGTAACACAGTAAGACACAGTCTCTATAAATATATACATATATATATGTGTATATATATATATATATATATATATATATATATGAAACATAGTAAGACACTGTCTCTATATATATATATATATATATATATTAGAAACAACCCAGATGCTCCTTAACAGAAGACTGGTTAAATAAATTATGTTACATCCACACAGGAAATACCATATAGCTCCATAAGTTTTTTTGAAAAGTCAGTTGCATTTCTATGTACTAACAATGACCAATCCAAAAAGGAAATTAAGGCCGGGCATGGTGGCTCACGCCTGTAATCCCAGCACTTTGGGAGGCCGAGGCAGGTGGATCACATGAGGTCAGGAGTTCAAGAGCAGCCTGGCCATCATGGTGAAACCCCATCTCTACTAAAAATACAAAAATTAGCCGGGCGTGGTGGCATGTGCTTGCAGTCCCAGCTACTTGGGAGGCTGAAGCAGGAGAATTGCTTGAACCTGGGAGGCAGAGGTTGCAGTGAGCCAAGATTGTATCACTGCACTCCAGCCTGGGCAATAGAGTAAGACCCTGTCTAAAAAAAAGAAAAAAAAAAGGAAATTAAGAAAACAAAACAATCCCATTTACTATAGTATCAAATAGGATAAAATGTTTAGAATAAACTTAACCAAGGAGGTAAAAGTCTTACACACTAAAAACTCCAAAACATACCTAAAAGAAATAAAAGAAGATACAAATAAATAGAAGGGTATCCCATGCTGATGAATTAGAGGACTTAATGTTGTAAAAATGTCCATACTACTCAAAGGAATCTACAGATTCAATGCAATCCCTATCAAAATCCCAATGGCATTCTTTGCAGAGAAAAACCCATCCTAAAATTTCCGTGGGATCTCAAAGGATGCTGAAAAGCTAAAACAATCTCAAAAAAAAAAAAAACAAAAACAAACAAAAAAAAACAGCAAAGCTGGGGGCCACAAATTTCCTGATTAGTAAACAAGATGGTGTGGTACTGACTTAAAAATAGATATATGGACCAATGAAACAGAATAATAAACCCTTGCATATATGGCCAAATAATTTTCTTCTTCTTCTTCTTTTTTTTTTTTTTTTTTTTTTGCGACAAGGTCTCTCTCCCTGTCTATCACCCAGGCTGGAGTGCAGTGGCACAGTCATGGCTCACTGCAGCCTCCTCCTCCTGGGCTCAAGTGATCCTCCCACCTCAGCCTCTCAAGTAGCTGGGACCACAGGTATGTGCCACCATGCCCGGCTAATCATTGCATTTTTTGTAGAGGTGGGGTTTCACCATGTTGCCTAGGCTGGTCTCGAACTCCTGAGCTCATGTGATCAACCCACCTCAGTCTCTCAAAGTGCTGGGATTACAGGCATGAGCCACTGCACCTGCCCAGGGGCCAAATGATTTTTGACAAGGATTCCAAAACTACACAATGAGAAAGGACAGTTTCTTCAATAAATGGTGTTAGAAGTACTAGATATCCACATGTAAAAGAATGAAGTTGGACCCTTATCTGACACCACATACAAAAATTAACTCAAAGCAGATTAAAAAACTAAACATAAGACATAAAACTATAAAACTCCTGGAAGAAAACATAGACGAAAAGCTTCAGGACATTATATTTGGCAATTATTTCTTGGCTATGACACCAAAAGCACAAGCAACAAAAGCAAAAAAAGGCAAGTGAGGCTACATCAAACTTAAAAACTTATTCACGTAAAAAGAAACTATCAACCGAGTGAAAAGACAACCTATGAAATGAGAGAAAATATTTGTAAGTCGTATATCTGATAATGGGTTAATATTCAGAATATAAAAGGGACTTCTAAAAAAAATTCAAAAATGTGCAAAGGACTTGAATGGACAATTCTCTAAAGAAAATGTAAATTGGCCATTAAGCATATGAAAAGATGCTCAACATCACTAATCATAAAAGAAATGCAAATTAAAACCACAATCAGGCCGGGCGCCGTGGCTCCCGCCTGTAATCCCAGCACTTTGGGAGGCCAAGATGGGCGGATAGCGAGGTCAGGAGATGGAGACCATCCTGGCTAACATGGTGAAACCCCATCTCTACTAAAAATACAAAAAATTAGCCAGGCGTAGTGGCGGGTGCCTGTAGTCCGAGCTACTCTGGAGAGGCAGGAGAATGGTGTGAACCCGGGGGAGGCGGAGCTTGCAGTGAGCCGAGATCGCGCCACTGCACTCCAGCCTAGACGACAGAGCGAAACTCCGAAACTCCGTCTCAAAAATAAACAAACAAACAAAAACACAATCAGATATCACTGCTCACCCTTTAGGATGTATGCTAACAAAAGAACAGAAAATAGTAAATGTCAGCAAAATGGAGGAGAAAGTAGAATCCATGTGCACTGTTAGCGGGAATGTAAAATGGTCCAGCCATTATGGAAAAAAGTGTGGAGATTCTTTAAAAAGTTAAAAATGGAATTACCATGTGATTCAGCAATCCTATTTCTGGGTGTATATCCAAAACAATTCAAATTTGTATATTAGAAAGATATCTGCACACACATGTTCACTGTAGCATTATTATTTATTTATTTATTTTGAGACAGAATCTCACTCTGTCACCCAGGATGGAGTGCAGTGGCATGATCTCAGCTCACTGCAACATCTGCCCCCCAGGTTCAAGCAATTCTCCTGTCTCAGCCTCCCGAGTAGCTGAGATTACAGGCATGCACCACCACACCCAGCTAATTTTTGTATTTTTTAGTAGAGATGGGGTTTTGCCATGTTGGCCAGACTGGTCTCGAACTCCTGACCTCAAGTGATCAGCCTGCCTCAGCCTCCCAAAGTGCTGGGATTACAGGCGTGATCCACCACGCCTGACCCACTATCCCATTATTTACCATAGCCAAGAGGTAGATTCAATCCAAATGTCCATTGACAGATGAATGGATAAAGAAAACGTGGTGTATACATACATTGGAATTGTATGCAGCCTTAAAAAAAGAAGGAAATCCTTTTTTTTTTTAACATGGATGATACCTTAAAGATACTATGTTAAGGAAGATAAACCAGTCACAAAAGGATAAATAGTGTATGATTCCACTGGAAGTATCTAAAGTAGTCGAAACATAGAAACAAAAAGTAGAAAGGTGGCTAACAAAGGTTGACGGAGAGGATTTAGTGTTTAGTGGATACAGAGTTTCAGTTTTGCAACACGAAAAGATTCTACAGATCTGTTGTGCAACAACATGAGTATACTTAAGAGCACTAAGCTGTATACTTAAAAATAGGTATAATGAGGCCAGGCATGGTGACTCACACCTGTAATCCCAGCACTTTGGGAGACCCAGGCAGGCGAATCACTTGAAGCCAGAAGTTCGAGAAGAGCCTGCACAACATGGTGAAACCCCATCTCTATTAAAAATACAAAAATAGGCAGGGAAACAGGTGTTGGCAAACATCTCTAGTCCCAGCTAGTCGGGAGGCTGAGGCTGGAGAATCTCTTGAACTTGGGAGACAGAGGTTGCAGTGAGCTAAGATTGCACCACTGCACTGTAGCCTGGGTGATAGAGTGAGACCCTGTCTCAAAAAAAATAAAAAACAAAAAAAAAGCTTTTCACCAGGCTTGGTGGCTCATGCCTGCAATCCCAGCATTTTGGGAGGCTGAGGTGGGAGGATCATTTGAGGCCAGAAGTACGAGACCAGCCTGGCCAACATGGCGAAACCCTGTCTGTACCAAAAAATACAAAAATTAGCCAGGTGTGGTGGCACACACCTGTAGTCCCAGCACTCAGGAGGCTGAGGTGAAAGAATTGCTTGAACCCAGGAAGCGGAGGTTGCAATGAGCTGAGATGGCGCCACTGCACTCCAACATGGTCAACAGAGCAAGACCATGTCTCAAAAAAAAAAAGGGCGGGGGGCCGGGTGTGGTGTCTCACACCTGTAATCCCAGCACTTTGGGAGGCCGAGATGGGTGGATCACGAGGTCAGGAGATCGAGACCACGGTGAAACCCCATCTCTACTAAAAATACAAAACATTAGCCAGGCGCGGTGGCGGGCACCTGTAGTCCCAGCTACTCGGGAGGCTGAGGCAGGAGAATGGCGTGAACCCAGGAGGCGGAGCTTGCAGTGAGCCGAGATCACGCCACTGCACTCCAGCCTGGGCAACAGAGCGAGACTCCATCTCAAAAAAAAAAAAAAAAAAAAAACAAAAGAAAGGTATAATGTACATTATTTGGGTGATGGACACTATAAAAGCCCTGACTTCACCACTATGCAATCTATGCATGTAACAAAATTGTACTTATACACCATAAATTTATAGACATTTTTTTAAATGTTCAAGAGGGTAAATTTAATGTTACATATTTTTTTACCACAATAAAAATAACATTTTAAAGAGGCAGGTCTAGATGTACAGATATGGGATGATTTCCTAGTTACATTGTTAACAAAAAAAGCAGTTGCGTAACACCATGCATAGTATTTTAATATCTGTGTTAGATAAGAGACAGAGAAGATAAAAGGCAAAATAACTCTGAAAGAATTAAAACTAAATTTGATAATAGTAGTTGCCTAAGGAAGATAATCTGGTAGGTGGGGAAGAGGACAGGAGGGAAACTTTTCAATATATATTCTTTTTTACCTTTTATAGTTGGTACCATCTTAGTGTATATCCTATTCAAAACATGAATGTAATTTAAAAATTCAAATGTTATTGGTGAAAGAATAGACAAATAGACCAAAGGGATAGAATAGAGAGACCAGAAATAGACCCACACAAATATAGTCAACTGATCTCTGACAAAGAAACGAAAAAAAAAAAGACTCTAAACATAGACCTTACACTTTTCACAAAAATTAATTCAAAATGGATCATAGATCTAAATTTAAAACACAAAGCTATAAAATCCCTAGAAGATAGCACAGGATAAAATCCAGATGACCTTGGGTTTGACAATGACTTCTTAGGTATAACACAAAAAGTATGATCCATAAGAGAAAAAATTGATAAGTTGGATTTTATTAAAATGGAAAACTTGGGGCCAGATGCAGTGGCTCACGCCTGTAATCCCAGCACTTTGGGAAGCCGAGGCAGGCGGATCACGAGGTCAGGGGTTCGAGACCAGCCTGACCAACATGGTAAAACCCCATCTCTACTAAAAATACAAAAATTAGCTGGGCATGGTGGCGGGCGCCTATAATCCCAGCTACTCAGGAGGCTGAGGCAGGAGAATCACTTGAACCCGGGTGGGGGAAGTTGCAGTGAGCCGAGTTCATGCCACTGCACTCCAGCCTGGGCAACAGAGTGAAAAACTTGGCCGGGCGCGGTGACTCACGCCTGTAATCTCAGCACTTTGGGAGGCCGAGACGAGCGGATCACTTGAGGTCGGGAGTTTGAGACCAGCCTGCCAAAAATGGTGAAACCCCATCTCTACTAAAAATACAAAAATTAGCTGGGCGTGGTAGGGCGTACCTGTAATCCCAGCTACTCGGGAGGCTGAGGCAGGAGAATCGCTTGAACCCGGGAGGCAGAGGTTGTGGTGAGCCAAGATGGTGCCACTGCACTTCAACCTGGGCGAAAGAGGGAGACTTGTCCTCAAAAAAATAAAAATAAAATAAAATGGAAAACTTGTGCTCTGCAAAAGAAATTGTTAAGGGAATGAAAACACAAGCCACAGACAGAGAAAATCTTTGCAAAACACATATTTGATAAAGAACTGGTATCCAAAATATAAGAAATCTTCCCACTCAACAATAGGAAAACAAAGACCTAATTTAAAAATGGACAAAAAACTTGGAAACCTCACCAAAGAAGATATACATATGGCAAATAGCTTCTCAGTATCATATGTCATTAGGGAATTGTGAATTAAAACAACAATATGATACCACTGCATACCTATTAGAATGGCTAAAATCCAAAACAGTGACAACACAAAATGCTGACAAGGATGTAGAGGAACAGGAGCTCTCATTCATTGCTGCATGAAATGCAAAATAGTACAGCCACTTTGAAAAGACGTTTGGCCAGTTCTTACAATGCTAAACGTACTCTCTCTCTCTCTCTCTTTTTTTTTTTTTTTTTGTTTGTTTGTTTTGTTTTTTCTTTAGTAGAGACAGGTTTTCACCATGTTGGCCAGGCTGGTCTTGAACTCCTGAGCTCAAGTGATCCACCTGCCTTGGTCTCCCAAGTGCTGGGATTACATGCGTGAGCCACTGCACCCAGCCGCTAAACCTACCCTTATCATTTATCCCACTATTGCATTCCTTGGTTAAATGAGTTGAAAATTTTACATCTACACAAAACCTTGAAGTGAATGTTTATAGTAGCTTTATTAACAACTGCCAAAACTTGGAACCAACCAAGATGTCCTTCAATATATGAATGGATAAACTGTGGTAATCCATACAATGGAATATTATTTGGCAATAAAAATAAATGAGCTATCAAGTCATGAAAAGACGTGGAGGAACCTGAGATGCATATTGCTAAGATGAGGAAGCCAACCTAGTCCCAGCACAGTGGCTCACGCCTGTAATCCCAACGCTTTGGGAGGCTCAGGCAGAAGGGATTGCTTGAGCCCAGGAGTTCGAGACCACACAGGGCAACATGGAGAAACCCTGTCTCTACAAAAAAATACAAAAATTATCCAGGTGTGGTGGTGCATGCCTGTGGTCCCAGCCACCTGAGAGGCTGAGGTGAAAAAAAAAAGGACAATCTAAAAAGGCAACATATTGTATGATTCCAAATATATAACATTTTAGAAAAGCCAACACTATGGAAACAGTAAAATGATTAGTGGTTTCCAGGGGTTGAGGGGACATGGCAAGGAGGGAAACTGATAAATTGGTGGACCACAGGGAATTTTTGGGCAGTGAAACTATTCTGTTTGATACTAGAATGGTGAATATATGTCATTATAAATTTGTCAAAACCCATAGAAAGTACTACAAAAACTCTTATGTACTGTGAACTCTTAGTAAACTGTGGACTTTAGTTAATAATAATATATCAGTTATAACAAATGAACCATACAAATGCAATTTTTTTTGAGACAGTCTCACTCTGTTGCCCAGGCTGGAGTATAGTGATGCAAGCACAGCTTACTGACCTCTGTTCAAGCAATCCTCCTGCCTCAGCCTGCCAAGTAGCTGGGACTACAGACACTCACCACCCCACCAGTTTTTATTATTATTATTATTTTTTATTTTTTTAATAGAGAGGGCAAGTTGGGTGCGGTGGCTCATGCCTGTAATCCCAGCACTTTGGGAAGCCAAGGCGGGCGGATCACTTGAGGTCAGGAGTTCGAGACCAGCCTTTCCAACATGGTGAAACCCCATCTCTACTAAAAATACAAAAAAAATTAGTGGGGCGTGGTGATGGGCACCTGCAGTCTCAGCTACTCGGGAGGCTGAGGCAGAAGAATCACTTGAACCCGGGAGGCAGAGGTTGCAGTGAGCCAAGATCACACCACTGCACTCCAGCCTGGGCGACAGAGTGAGACTCTATCTTAAATAAATAAATAAATAAATAAATAAGGTGTCTCACTGTGTTGCCTACGCTGGTCTCAAACTCCTGGACTCAAGCAATCCTCCCATCTCAGCCTCCCAAAGTACTGGGATTACAGGTGTGAGCCACCATGCCTAACCACAATCTTTAACAGTAAATCAAGGCTGGGCGCGGTGGCTCACGCCTGTAATCCCAGCACTTTGGGAGGCCGAGGCGGGTGGATCACGAGGTCAGGAAATCGGGACCAATCTGGTGAAACCCTGTCTCTACTAAAAATACAAAAAATTAGCCGGGCGTGGTGGTGGGCGCCTGTAGTCCCAGCTACTCGGGGGGCTGAGGCAAGAGAATGGCCTGAATCCGGGAGGCGGAGCTTGCAGTGAGCCGAGATCATGCCACTGCACTCCAGCCTGGGTGACAGATCGAGACTCCATCTTAAAAAAAAAAAAAAGTAAATCAAACAAACTTAATCTGATAGCCCCAAACCAGATGTTTCCTGCTCATAAACCAGTGAAAGTTCAATTAATAATGCAATAGTTTTTAAAGATTCTAAACTTAAGGAAATCTTATATTTAAGGTGTTTACTCTCCAAATTATCTAATCTTTCAACAAGAGTTACTAAAACGAAAATAAAAGATCAGATATATTTGAAAATGAACCAGACAGAGATCCTAATTACAAATAGAGTGAAGTAAAAACCTCATAGACATACTGAAGAAGAAAACAGCAAGATAAGGAATTTTAAGAAGCTATCTATGACAAAATAACAGATTTTTTAGTTTGGGGGAACATCAAGAAAATTATATATTTAAATGATAAATGTCATTAACATATACTAAGTTATTACAATAACGCTTCATTTTTCAAATTATCAAAGTCAAGGTAGTCACATGCTATGTTCAGAAGAAGAAAACAAGTCAGATGATGTGTTATAAGAGAAAAAAGGCCTGGAGGACACATCCAACAATGGAAAGATATCTTCAGGTGATATGGCTGAGTAATTTTTTCCTGCATTGTACTTTCCATTTTTCCAGATTTCCTATAACGAGAACATATTATAAAGATGATGGGAGAAATGAAATAATTTTAATCGTTGTAAGCAGTAACAGGGCTACCTATTTTCTGCCAGCATATATGAATTCAGAGAGCAATTATCTCCACACAAATCTTAGCTCAATATTATTTTAAAAGGTACTTTCCTAGATTTCAATACAATAGTTAGGCTTTCTGAGCTTTCTACCTCAAAATCTTAGTTGTAGGATTTTTTTTATATATATATATACTTTAAGTGCTGGGGTACATGTGCAGAACGTGCAGGTTTGTTACATCGGTATACACGTGCCCTGGTGGTTTGCTGCACCCATCAACCCGTCATCTACATTAGGTCTCCTAATGCTATCCCTCCCCTAGTCCCCCGCCCCCTGACAGGCCCCATTGTGTGATGTTCTCCTCCCTGTGTCCATGTGTTCTCATTGTTCAACTCCCACTTATGAGTGAGAACATGCGGTATTTGGTTTTCTGTTCTTGTGTTAGTTTGCTGAGAATGATGGTTTCCAGCTTCATCCATGTCCCTGCAAAGGATATGAACTCATCCTTTTTTATAGCTGCATAGTATTCCATGGTGTATATGTGCCACATTTTCTTTATTCAGTCTATCATTGATGGGCATTTGGGTTGGTTCCAAGTCTTTGCTATTGTGAATAGTGCTGCAATAAACATGTGTGCATGTGTCTTTATAGTAGAATGATTTATAATCCTTTGGGTATATACCCAGTAAATAAATTGCTGGGTCAAATGGTATTCCTAATTACAGATCCTTGAGGAATCTCCACACTGTCTTCCATAATGGTTGAACTAATTTACACTCCCAACAACAGTGTAAAAGTGTTTCTATTTTAGGCCAGGCTCACGCCTGTAATCCCAGCACTTTGGGAGGCCGAGGCGGGTGGATCACGAGGTTGGAGATCGAGACCATCCTGGCCAACACGGTGAAACCCTGTCTCTACTAAAAATACAAAAAATTAGCTGGGCATGGTGGCAGGCGCCTGTAGTCCCAGCTGCTCGGGAGGCTGAGGCAGGAGAATGGTGTGAACCTGGGAGGCGGAGCTTGCAGTGAGCCAAGATTGCGCCACTGCACTCCAGCCTGGGTGACAAAGCAAGACTCTGTCTCGAAAAAAAAAAAAATGAAAAAAAAGTGTTTCTATTTCTCCACATCCTCTCCAGCCTCTGTTGTTTCCTGACTTCTTAATGATTGCCATTCTAATTGGCATGAGATGGTATCTCATTGTGGTTTTCATTTGCATTTCTCTAATGACCAGTGATGATGAGCTTTTTTCCATATGTTTGTTGGCCGCATAAATGTCTTCTTTTGAGAAGTGTCTGTTCATATCCTTCCACCACTTTTTGATAGGGTTGTTTGTTTTTTTTTTTTGTAAATTTGTCTAAGTTCTTTGTAGGTTTGGGATATCAGCCCTTTGTCAGATGGATAGATTGCAAAAATTTTCTCGCATTCTGTAGGTTGCCTGTTCACTCTGATGATAGTTTCTTTTGCTGTGCAGAAGCTCTTTAGTTTAATTAGATCTCATTTGTCAATTTTGGCTTCTGTTGCCATTGCTTTTTAGTCATGAAGTCTTTGCCCATGCCTATGTCCTGAATGGTATTGCCTAGATTTTCTTCTAGAGTTTTTATGGTTTTAGGTCTTACGTTTAAGTCTTTTATCCATCTTGAGTTAATTTTTGTATAAGGTGTAAGGAAGGGGTCCAGTTTCAGTTTTCTGCATATGCCTAACCAGTTTTCCCAACACCATTTATTAAATGGGGAATCCTTTCCCCATTGCTTGCTTTTGTCAGGTTTGTCAAAGATCAGATGGTTGCAGATGTGTGGTGTTATTTCTGAAAACCTCTGTTCTGTTCCCTTGGTCTATATATCTGTTTTGGTACCAGTACCATGCTGTTTTGGTTACTGTAGCCTTGTAGTAATTGTAAGATTTTTATAAATGTCTTTTATCAGGTTGAGGAGGTTCCCTTCTATTCCTACTTCTCTGTTTTTTTTTTAATTATGAAACATGTTGGATTTTGTTCTTCATCTATTGAGATGATCATGTAATTTCTTTTCCTTCATTCTATTTCCTTGTTGCATCACATTGATTTCTTTTTGTATCACTTTTGCATTCCTGGGATAAATCCCACTTGGTTATGGTGTGTAATCCTTTGTTTGTTTGTTTGTTTGTTTGTTTTTTGAGATAGAGTGTCACTCTGTTGCCCAGGCTGGAGTGCAGTGGCGCAATCTCGGCTTACCGCAACCTCTGTCTCCCAGGTTCAAGCAATTCTCCTGCCTCAGCCTTCCAAGTAGCTGAGAGTATAGATGCATGCCACCACGCCTGGCTAATTTTTGTATTTTTTTTTTTAGTAGAGACAGGGTTTCACCATATTGGTCAGGCTGGTCTTGAACTCCTGACCCCAGGCGATCCATCCACCTCAGCCTCCCAAAGTCCTGGGATTACAGGTGTCAGCCACCATGCATGGCTTTGTAATCCTTTTAATATGCTGTTGAATTTTGCTCTTCTTTTCTAATTCCTTAAGCTGTAAAGTTGGGTCATTGATTTGAAATCTTTTTTTTTTTTTTTGTGACAGGGTCTTGCTCTGTTGCTCAGGCTGGAGTGCAGTGGCATGATCTTGGCTCACTGCAACCTCTGCCTCCTGGGTTAAAGCGATTCTCCTGCCTCAGCCTCCCAAGTACCTGGGACTACAGGCAATTGCCGCCACGCCTGGCTAGTTTTTGTATTTTTAGTAGAGATGGGGGTTTCATCATGTTGGCCAGGCTGGTCTCGAACTCCTGACCTCAAGTGATCCGCCTGCCTCAGCCTCCCAAAGTGCTGGGATTACAGACATTTTATTCCATTCTGATCAGAGAAGATATTTCATATGATTTCCATCTTTTCAAATTTATTAAGTCTTATTTATGGCTTAACATATGGTCTAACTTGGAGAATGTTCCATGGCCACCTGACAAAAATGTAAATTTTGCTCAAGTTGTTTGGGGTGTTCTGCATATATTTGTCTGTATATATTTGCATATGTTTGTCAGTCTAGTTGGCTCATAGTGTTGTATATATTTGTCAGTCTAGTTGGCTCATAGTGTTGTTCAAGCCTTCTATCTCCTTATTTACCTTTCTGGTTGTATTCATTATCAAAAATGGGATATTGAAGTCTCCAATTATTATTGCAGAATGGTCTAGTTCTCCCTTCTATTCGATCAATGTTTGATTTGCATATTTTGGGGCAATATTGGTAAGTGTGTCTATGTTTATAACTGTTATATTCTCTTGATGAGTTGTCATTTTTTCAATATATAATATCCTTTGTCTCTTATAACAATTTTCGACTTCAAGTCTATTTTGTCTGATATTAGTATAGCTACCCCACTCTCTTTTGATTACTATTTGCATGGAATTTTTTTTATTCTTTCATTTTCAATCTACTTGTGTCTCTCCATCAAAAGTGAGTCTCTTGTTGACAGCATATGGTTTGATTGTGGTTTTGCTTTTTAAATCTATTTTATTATTCTCTGCCTTTTAATTGGGAAGTTTAATTCATTCACATTAAAAGTAATGACTGTTAAGGAATGGCTGACTTCTGCCATTTTGCTATTTGTTTACTATATGTCCTTTTTATTGTTTTGAGACACAGTTTCACTCTGTTGCCAAGGCTTGAATGCAGTGTTGCGATCTCGTCTCACTGCAAACTCAGCCTCCCAGGTTCAAGCGATTCCTGTGCCTCAGCCTCCTGAGTAGCTAGGATTACAGGCTCACACCACCACGCCCAGCTAATTTGTGTATTATTAGTAGAGGTGGAGTTTCACCGTGTTGGCCAGGCTGGTCTTGAACTCCTGACCTCAAGTGATCTGTCCGCCTTGGTATCCTAAAGTGCTGGGATTACAGGTGTGAGCCACCATGCCCAGCCTGTTTACTATGTGCCTTATGTGTACTTCGTTCTTCATTTCCTCTATTACTGCCCACTTTTGTGTTTAAGTAATTCTTTTGTAATGTGCCATTTTGGTTTCCTTCTTATTTCCTTTTCTGCAAACGTGCAATAAATGTCTTTCTGTATACTTTTAAATTATTTTTTTCATGGTTATCCTGGCAATTACCATAAACATGTTAAATTTGTAACAGTCTAGTTTGAATTGATAGCAGTGTAACTTCAGTAGTATATACAAACTCTGATCCTATGCAGCTCTGTCCTTCCCCCTTTATATTGTTATTGTCAGGACTTATGTCTTTATGCATTGGAAGCCCATGAATATAGATTTATGATTATTGTTTTATGTATGTCTATAAAATTATATAAGAAATTAAAGAGTAGTTACAAAACAAAAATGTAATAATATTTGCTTTTTTTTTTTTTTTTGAGACAGAGTTTTGCTCTTGTTGCCCAGGCTGGAGTGCAATGGTATGATCTCGGCTCACTGCAACCTCCGCCTCCCGGGTTCAAGACATTCTCCTGCCTCAGCCTCCTGAGTAGCTGAGATTACAGGCATGCACCACCACGCCCAGCTAATTTTGTACTTTTAGTAGAGACAGGGTTTCTCCATGTTGGTCAGGCTGTTCTACGAACTCCCAACCTCAGGTGATCCACCTGCCTCGGCTTCCCAAAGTGTTGGGATTACAGGCATAAGCCACTGCGACAGGCCAATATTTGCTTTTATATTTACCTATGTAGTTACATTTACTAGCGTTCTTTATTTCTTCACATGGTTTCAAGCTACAGTGTAGTGTACTTTTTGTTTAGGCATGAAGGATTCACTTTAGCATTTCTTGTAGGGCAAGGCTACCTGAAACAAACTCAACTTTTGTTTATCTGGCAATGTCTTATTTTTTCCTTCATTTTTGAAGGATTGTTGTGCCAAATATGGAATTCTTGATTGACTTTTTCTTTCAACACATGAAATATGTCATTCCACTGCTTTCTAACGTTCGTGATTTGTAACGAGAAATTGGCTGTTAATTTTATAGAAGGTCCCTTGTGAATGATTAATCACTTCTCTATTGCTACTTTCAAGATTCTCTCTCTGTCTGTCTTTCTCTCTGTTTCTCTGGCTTCCAACAGTTTGATTGTAACGTGGCTTGGTGTGGACCTCTTTGTGCTTATTTTACTTGGAGTTTGTTGAGCTTCTTAGATGTCGATATTCACATCTTTTATGACATTTGAGCCACTTTATTTATTTATATATATTTTCTGCCTTTTCTTTTCTCTCCTTCTGGGACTCTCATTACATGTATATTGTATGCTTCATGGTTTCCCATAGGTCTCTTAGGTTCTGTTCACTTTTCTTCATTCTTTTTTATTTTGCTTCTCAGACTGAATAATTTCTTTCTTCTTTTTCATATGTATAAACTTATTTGATACACGTGTAATTGTGTTACTTGCATAGGTTATGTAGTAGTGAAGCCAGGGCTTTTAGTGTATCCATCACCTGAATAACATACATAGTTCCCATTAAGTAATTAAGTAATTTCTCATCCTCCTCCCTCCTTCTACCCTCTCACTCTTCTGAGTCTCTATTTTCTTTTTTCTTTTTCTTTTTTTTCTTTTTTTTCAGACAGAGTCTCATTCTGTCTCCCAGGCTGGAGTGCAGAGGCACGATCTCAGCTCACTGCAACTTCTGCCTCCTGGGTTCAAGCATGCCTCAGCCTCCCGAGTAGCTGGGATTACAGGTGTGTGCCACCATGCCTGGCTAATTTTTGTACTTTTAGTAGAGACGCTGTTTCACCATGTTGGCCAGGCTGGTCTTGAACTCTTTACCTCAAGTGATCCACCCATCTCGGCCTCCCAAAGTGCCGGGATTACAGGCATGAGCCATTGTGCCCAGCGTCAGTCCCCATTTCCTATTTTTCCACCTTCTACATCCATGTGAACACATTTTTTAGGACCCACTTATGAGTGAGAACATGCAATAAATGTCTTTCTGTGCCTGGCTTGTCTCATGTAAGATAATGACCTCCAGTTCCATTCATGTTGCTGTAAAGGACATGATTTTATTCTTTTTTTTTTTTTTTTTTTTTCGGAGATGGAGTATCTCTCTGTCACCAGGTGGCTCACTGCAACCTCCGCCACCCGGGTTCAAGCGATCCTTCTGCCTCAGACTCCTGAGTAGCTGGGACTACAGGCGCATGCCACACCTGGCTAATTTTTTGTATTTTAGTAGAGATGGGCTTTCACCGTGTTACTCAGGCTGGTCTCAAATTCCTGAGCTCAGATGATCCACCTGCTTCGGCCTCCCAAAGTGCTAGGATTACAGGCATGAGCCACCGTGCCCGGTGATTTCATTTATTTTATGGCTGAATAGCATTCTATTGTGCACGTATACCCCACATTTTCTTTATCCAATCATCTGTTGATGGACACTTAGGTTGATTCCATATCTTTGCTACTGTGAATAGTGCTGTGATAAACATATGATTGTGGGTATCTTTTTGATATATAGATTTATTTTCTTTTTCTCTTTTTCTTTTTTCTTTTTTTTTTTTTTTGAGACAAAGTTTTGCTCTTGTTGCCCAGGCTGCAGTGCAGTGGCTCGATCTCGGCTCATGGCAACGTCTGCCTCCCAGGTTCAAGTGATTCTCCTGCCTCAGCCTTTCGAGTAGCTGGGATTACAGGCATGCGCCACCATGCCTGGCTAATTTTGTATTTTTAGTAGAGATGGGGTTTCTCCATGTTGGTCAGGCTGGTCTCGAACTCCCGACCTCAGGTTATCCACCCGCCTCGGCCTCCCAAAGTGCTGGGATTACAGGCGTGAGCCACGGCACCCGGCCGATGTATAGATTTATTTTCCTTTGGGTAGATACCCAATAGTGGAATTGCTGAATTGAATGGTAGTGCTTTTTTGTGTGTGTGTGTTTTTATTTATTTTTTTTTTTTTGAGACAGAGTCTCGCTCTGTCACCCAGGCTGGAGTGCAGTGGCGCAATCTCAGCTCAATGCAACCTTCGCCTCCTTGGTTTAAGTGATTCTCATGCCTCAGCCTCCCAGGTAACTCGGATTACAGGCATGGGTCACCATGCCTGGCTAATTTTTTTGTATTTTTAGTACAGATGGGGTTTCACCATGTTGACCAGGCAGGTCTCAAACTGGCCTCAAGTGATCCACCCTCCTCAGCCTCCTGATTTGCTGGGATTACAGGTGTGAGCCACTGCGCCTAGCCTAGAATGGTAGTTCTATTTTTAGATTTTTTTAATTTTGAGACAGTCTCACTCTTTCGCCCAGGCTAGAGTGCAATGGCATGATCTCTGCTCACTGCAACCTTTGCCTCCCAGGCTTAAGCAATCTTCCTGCCTCAGCCTCCCAAGTAGCTGGTACTATAGGTGTGTGCCACCATACCCAGCTAATTTTTGTATTTTTTGTAGAGATGAGGTTTTGTCATGTTGCCCAGGCTGGTCTCAAATTCCTGGCCTCAAGTGATCCACCCACCTTGACCTCCCAAAGTGCTGGAATTATAGGTGTGAGCCACCACACCCAGCCTATTTTTAGTTTTTTGAACAATCTCTATACTGTTTTTCATATTGGCTGCATTAATTTACATTCCCACCAACAGTAAATAAGAGTTCCCTTTTCTCGGCCGGGCGCAGTGGCTCACACCTGTAATCCTAGCACTTTGGGAGGCTGAGACACGAGGATCACATGAGGCCAGGACTTTGAGACCAGCCTGGGCAACATAGTGAAGTAGCTAGGTGTGGTGGCATGCATTTGTAGTCCCAGCTATTCTGGAGGCTGAGGCAGGAGGATCCCTTGAGCCTAGGAGTTCAAAGTTGCAATGAGCTGTGATCTCGCCATGGCACTCCAGCCTGGTTGACAGAGCAAGACTCTGTCTTGAAGAAAAAAAAGTGAATGCATTTTTAGTTGATTTTTGTGTGTGGTGAGAGATAAGGGATTAGACTGGATAATGTCAATTGACGTATTCATGTTTGTTATTTCTTTTTATTTTTTATTTATTTTGTTTTTTAATAGTTTTGTGAGAATAGGTGGTTTTTGGTTACATGGATAAGTTCTTTAGTGGTGATTTCTGAGACTTTCGTGCACCCATCATCTGAGCAGTGTACACTGTACCCAATGTGTAGTCTTTTACCCCCATCCCTCTCCCATCCTTTCCTCTGAGTCCCCAAAGTCTATTATATCAGTCTTATGCCTTTGCATCCTCCTAGCTTAGCTTCCACTTATAAGTGAGAACATACAATATTTGGTTTTCCATTCCTTAGTTACTTACCTCAGAATAATGGTTTCCAACTCCATCCAGGTTGCTGTGGATGCCCTTCTGCCTGCCTTTCTTTCTTTCTTCTTTCTTTCTTTCTTTCTTTCTTTTTCTTTCTTTTTCTTTCTCTTTCTTTTTCTTTCTCTCTTTCTTTCTCTTTCTCTCTTTCTTTCTTTCTCCTTCCTTCCTCCCTCCCTCCCTTCCTTCCTTCTTTCCTTCTTTCTTTCTTTCTTTCTTTTTCTTTTCCTTTTTTTTTGAGACGGAGTTTCGCTCTTGTCACCCAGGCTGGAGTGCGATGGCGCGATCTCACCTCACTGCAACCTCTGCCTCCCAGGTTCAAGCAATTCTCCTGCCTCAGCCTCCCAACTAGCTGGGATTACAGGCATGTGCCACCACGCCCAGCTAATTTTTTTCTATTTTTAGTAGAGACGGGGTTTCTCCATGTTGGTCAGGCTCATCTCCAACTCCTGACCTCAGGTATCCACCCGCCTCAGCCTCCCAAAGTGCTGGGATTACAGGCGTGAGCCATCGTGCCCAGCTCTTTCTTTCTTTTTCTTTCTTCTTTCCTTTTTTTCTGAGACAGGGTCTCACTTTGTCACCCTGGCTGGAGTGCAGTGGCAGCATCTCTGCTCACTGCAGCCTCGACCTCCTAGGCTCAAGCAATTCTCCCACCTCAGCCCCTCAAGTAGCTGGGATTACAGGCATGCACCACCATGCCCAGCTAATTTTTGTATTTTTATTAGCGATGGGGTTTTGCCATGTTGTCCGGGCTGGTCTCAAACTCCTGAGCTCAAGCGATCTGCCCTCTTGGCCTCCCAAAGTGTTGAGATTACAGGCATAAGCCACTGTGCCCAGCCAGAATGCTGTTATTTCATTCCTTTTTATGGCTAAGTAGTATTCCATGGTGTATATATATCACATTTCCTTTATCCACTCATTGGTCAATGTGCATTAGTCTGGTTCCATATTTTTGTAGTTGTGAATTGTGCTGCTATAAACGTGCGTGCAAGTGTCTTTTCCATATAATGACTTCTTTTCCTTTGGGTAGATACGCAGTAGTGGGATTGCGGATAGAATGGTAATTCTGCTTTTAGTTCTTTAAGGAATCTCCATACTGTTTTCCGTACTGGTTGTACTAGTTTACATTCCCACCAGCAGTGTAAAAGTGTTCCCTTTCACCACATCCATGCCAACATCTATTGTTTTCTGACTTTTCAATTATGGCCATTCTTGCAGGAGTAAGGTGGTATCTCATTGTGGCTTGAATTTGCATTTCCCTGATAATTAGTGATGTTGACCATTTTTTCATGTGTTTGTTGGCCATTTGTATATCTTCTTTTGGGAATTCTCTATTCATGTCCTTGGCCCACTTTTTGACGGGATTATTGGTTTTTTTTCTTGCTGATTTGAATTCCTTGTAGATTCTAGATATTGGGCCTTTGTGAATATTTTCTTCCACTCTGGGTTGTCTGTTTACTCTGCTGATTGTTTGTTTTGCTGTGCAGAAGCTTTTTAGGTCCCATCTATTTACTTTTGTTTTTGTCACATTTGCTTTTGAGTTCTTGGTCATGAATTATTTGTCTAAGCCAATGTCTAGAAGAGTTTTTCTGATGTTATCTTCTAGAATTTTTATGGTTTCAGGTCTTATATTTAAATTTTTGATCTATCTTGAGTTGATTTTTGTATAAGATGAAAGATGAGGATCCAGTTTCATTCTTCTGCATGTGGCTTGCCAATTATCCCAGCACCATTTGTTGAATAGGGTGTCCTTTCCCCACTTTATGTTTTTGTTTGCTTTGTCAAAAATAAGTTGGCTATAAGCATTTGGCTTTATTTCTGGGCTCTCTATTCTGTTCCATTGGCCTACATGCCTTTTTTATTTTTTTTTGGTGGAGTCTCACTCTGTCGTCCAGGCTGGAGTGCAATGGTGAGATCGTGGCTCACTGCAACTTCTGCCTCCTGGTTTCAAGCGATTCTCCTGCCTCAGCCTCCCAAGTAGCTGAGATTAGAGGCACCTGCCACCATGCCCGGCTAAGTTTTGTATTTTAGTAGAGAGGGGGTTTCATCATGTTGGTCAGGTTGGTCTCAAACTCCTGACCTCAAATGATCTGCCTGCCTCAGCTTCCCAAAGTGCTGGGATTACATGTGTGAGCCACCACGCCTGGCATACATGCCTATTTTTATACCATTGCCATGCTGTTTTGGTAACTATAGCCTCGTAGTATGGTTTGAAGTCAGGTAATGTGATGCCTCCAGATTTGTTCTTTTTATTTGGTATTGCTTTGGCTATGTGGGCTCTTTTTTTAGTTCCATATGAATTTTAGGGTTTTTTAAAAAATTCTGTGAAGAATGATGATGGAATTTTGATGGAAATTGCATTGAATATGTAGATTGCTTTTGGCAATTATTTCAAAATATTGGCCATTTTCACTATATTTGTTCTACTCATTCGTGAGCATGGGATGTGTTTCCATTTGTTTGTGTCATCTTGTTTTGTCAGCAGTGTATTGTAGTTTTCCTTGTAGAGATCTTTTGCCTCCTTTGTTAAGTATATTCCTAAGTATTTTTTTAATTATTATACTTTAAGTTTTAGGGTACATATGCACAACGTGCAGGTATGTTACATATGCATACATGTGCCATGCTGGTGTGCTGCACCCATTAACTCGTCATTTAGCATTAGGTATATCTCCTAAAGCTATCCCTCCCCACTCCCCCCACCCCACAACGGTCCCCGGTGTGTGATGTTCCCCTTCCTGTGTCCATGTGTTCTCATTGTTCAATTCCCACCTATGAGTGAGAACATGCGGTGTTTGGTTTTTTGTCCTTGCGATAGTTTGCTGAGAATGATGGTTTCCAGCTTCATCCATCTCCCTACAAAGGACATGAACTCATCATTTTTTATGGCTGCATAGTATTCCATGGTGTATATGTGCCACATTTTCTTAATCCAGTCTATCATTGTTGGACATTTGGGTTGGTTCCAAGTCTTTGCTATTGTGAATAGTGCCGCAATAAACATACGTGTGCATGTGTCATTATAGCAGCATGATTTATAATCCTTTGGGTATATACCCAGTAATGGGATGGCTGGGTCAAATGGTATTTCTAGTTCTAGATCCCTGAGGAATCGCCACACCGACTTCCACAATGGTTGAACTAGTTTACAGTCCCACCAACAGTGTAAAAGTGTTCCTATTTCTCCACATCCTCTCCAGCACCTGTTGTTTCCTGACTTTTTAATGATCACCATTCTAACTGGCATGAGATGGTATCTCATTGTGGTTTTGATTTGCATTTCTCTGATGGCCAGTGATGATGAGCATTTTTTCATGTGTTTTTTGGCTGCATAAATGTCTTCTTTTGAGAAGTGTCTGTTCATATTCTTCGTCCACTTGTTGATGGGGTTGTTTTTTTTTTCTTGTAAATTTGTTTGAGTTCATTGTAGATTCTGGATATTAGCCCTTTGTCAGATGAGTAGGTTGCAAAAATTTTCTCCCATTCTGTAGGTTGCCTGTTCACTCTGATGGTGGTTTCTTTTGCTGTGCAGAAGGTCTTTAGTTTAATTAGATCCCATTTGTCAATTTTGGCTTCTGTTGCCATTGCTTTTGGTGTTTTAGACATGAAGTCCTTGCCCATGCCTATGTCCTGAATGGTAATGCCTAGGTTTTCTTCTGGGGTTTTTATGGTTTTAGGTCTAACATTTAAGTCTTTAATCCATCTTCAATTAATTTTTGTATAACGTGTAAGGAAGGGATCCAGTTTCAGCTTTCTACATATGGCTAGCCAGTTTTCCCAGCACCATTTATTAAATAGGGAATCCTTTCCCCATCGCTTGTTTTTGTCAGATTTGTCAAAGATCAGATGGTTGTAGATATGTGGTGTTATTTCTGAGGCCTCGGTTCTGTTCCATTGTTCTATATCTCTGTTTTGGTACCAGTACCATGCTATTTTGGTTACTGTAGCCTTGTAGTATAGTTTGAAGTCAGGTAGCGTGACGCCTCCAGCTTTGTTCTTTTGGCTTAGGATTGACTTGGTGATGCGGGGTCTTTTTTGGTTCCATATGAACTTTAAAGTAGTTTTTTCCAATTCTGTGAAGAAAGTCATTGGTAGCTTGATGGGGATGGCATTGAATCTATAAATTACCTTGGGCAGTATGGCCATTTTCATGATATTGATTCTTCCTACCCATGAGCATGGAATGTTCTTCCATTTGTTTGTATCCTCTTTTATTTCATTGAGCAGTGGTTTGTAGTTCTCCTTGAAGAGGTCCTTCACATCCCTTGTAAGCTGTATTCCTAGGTAGTATATTCCTAAGTATTTTTATTTGGAGCTATTGTCAAAGGGGTTGAGTTCTTTATTTGATTCTCAGCTTGGTCATCATTGGTGTACAGCAGTGCTACTGATTTGCATATATTGATTTTGTGTCCTGAAACTTTACTGAATTCACTTACCAGATCTAGGAGCTTTTTGGATGAGTCTTTACGGTTTTCTAGGTATACAATTTTATCATTGTCAAACAGCGAGTTTGACTTCCTCTTTATCTATTTGGATGCCCTTTATTTCTTTCTCTTGTCTGATCACTCTGGCCAGGACTTCCATACTAGTAGAAGTGGCTACAGTGGTCATCTTTGCCTTGTTCCAGTTCTCAGGGGGAATGCTTTAAACTTTTCCCTGTTCAGTATGGTATTGGAAGTATGTTTGTCATAGATGGCTTTTACTACCTTGAGGTATGGCCCTTCTATGCCAATTTTGCTGAGGGTTTTTATCATAAAGTGATGTTGAATTTTGTCAAATGCTTTTGCTGCATCTATTGACATGATCTTATGATTTTTTTTTTTTTTTGAGATGGAGTCTTACTCTGTTGCCTGTGCTGGAGTGCAGTGGCACGACCTCAGCTCACTGCAACATTTGCCTCATGGGTTCAGGTGATTCTCCTGCTTCAGCCTCCTGAGTAGCTGGGATTACAGGCATGCACCAGCACTCCCTGCTAATTATTTTTGTCTTTTTTGTGTGTGTGTGTGTGTTTGTTTGTTTGTTTTTTTGAGACAGAGTCTCGCTCTGTGGCCCAGGCTGGAGTGCAGTGGCCTGATCTCGGCTCACTGCAAGCTCTGCCTCCCGGGTTCACACCATTCTCCTGCCTCAGCCTCCCTAGTAGCTGGGACTACAGGCACCCGTCACCACGCCTGGCTAATTTTTTTCGTATTTTTTTTAGTAGAGATGGGGTTTCACCGTGTTAGCCAGGATGGTCTCGAATCTCCTGACCTTGTGATCTATCTGCCTCGGCATCCCAAAGTGCTGGGATTACAGGCATGAGCCACCGCGCCAGGCCTAATTTTTGTATTTTTAGTAGAGACAGAGTTTCACCATGTTGGCCATGCTGGTTTCAAACTCTTGACTTCAGGTGATCCATCCGCCTTGGCGTCCTAAAGTGCTGGGATTACAGGTGGGAGCCACCGTGCCCAGCCTAAGCTTTTTTTTTTTTTTTTTTTTTTTGAGACTGAGTCTCACTCTGTCGCCCAGGCTGGAGTGCAGTAGTGCGATCTTGGCTCACTGCAACCTCTGGCTCCTGGGTTCAAGCGATTCTCTTGCCTCAGCCTCCAAAGTAGCTAGGATTACAGGCGCATGCCTCCACGCCTAGCTAAATTTTTTTGTGTGTGTATTTTTTTTTTTTTTTTGTATTTGTAATAGAGACGGGGTTTCACTGTGTTAGCCAGGCTGGTCTCAATCTCCTGACCTCGTGATCTGCCCGCCTGGGCCTCCCAAAGTGCCAGGATTATAGGCGTGAGCCACTGTGCCCAGCCGATGTATTATCTTTTTGATATGCTGTTGGATTCAATTAGCTAGTATTTTGTTGTGGATTTTCGCATCTATTTTCATCAGGGATATTCTTCTGTAGTTTTCTTTTTTTGTTATGTCCTTTCCTGGTTTTGGTATTGGGTGATACTGGCTTCATAGAATGAGTTAGGGAAGATTCCCTCTTTCTCTATCTTTTGAAATAGTTTCAGTAGGACTGGTAGCAATTCTTTGAATGTCTGATAGAATTCAGCTGTGACTCCATCTGGTCCTGGACTTTTTTTGTTGGCATTTTTTTTTTTTTTTTTTTTTTTGAGATGGAGTCTTGCTCTGTCACCCAGGCTGGAGTGCAGTGGCATGATCTCTGCTCAGCTCCGCCTCCCCCAGGTTCACGCCATTCTCCTGCCTCAGCCTACTGAGTAGCTGGGACTACAGGTGCCCGCCACCACGCCCAGCTAATTTTTTGTATTTTTAGTAGAGACGGGGTTTCACCGTGTTAGCCAGGATGGTCTCGATCTCCTGACCTCGTGATCCGCCCATCTTGGCCTCCCAAAGTGCTGGGATTACAGGTGTGAGCCACCTCGCCTGGCCTTTGTTGGCAATTTTTAAATTACTGTTTCAATCTCACTACTTGTTATTGGTCTGCTCAGAGTTTCTACTTCTTCATGATTTAATCTAGGAAGGTTATATATTTCTAGGAATTTATCCATCTCCTCTAGATTTTCTAGTTTGTGAACAAAGAAATACAAAAGATCATTCTTGTTTGCTATTTCTTTCTTCTGCTTTCTCAAATATGCTTTAGAAACCCTCTAAGGATTTTTTTATTATTGTATTTTTCAGCTCAAGAATTTCTGTGTGGTTGTTTTTTACATCCATCTCTCTATTGATATTCTGTATTTGGTGAGACATTGTTTACTTGTATTTTATTTAGTTTATTGGACATGGTTTTCTTTAGCTCTCTAAACATAGTTTAAATATATGATGTAATGTCTATTTCTAGTAAGTCCAGTGTGTGGGCTTCCTGAGGTATAGTTTCTGTTCATCTTTTCCCCTGTGAAGGGGCCAAACTTTCTTGTTTCTTTACATGTCTCATAAATTTTTTGTTCAAAACTGGAAAATTTGAATATTATAATGCGGCAACTCTGGAAATTAGATTCTCCTCATTCCTCAGGGTTCTTTGTTGCTGCTCATTGTGGGTTGTAGTTTTTGCTTAGTGATGTTTCTAAACTATTTTTGGGAAGACTATATTCTTTGTCATGGACACTGAAGTCTCTGTCCCACGAGCTTAGTGGTGAGCTAGCAATTTACCAGAAATTTCCTTAAACATCTGGAGACAAAAAAAAAAACACCTACAAACATTTTGTAGATTAGCCCTGTGTTGGTGCACACCTTCAACGCTTATCCAGTCAGTTTACAAACTTTTAGACTTCACTTACTGCTTGCACTGAGCATAAAGATCAGCTGGAGCTGAAAGCTTAGAGACCACTCAAGTCTTTTCTGAGCATGTGTCATCTTGCTGGGTATATGAAGCTTGTTCCTCAAGGCTCCCCAAAGTAACTCTCTTCTCACCTTTTCCTCCCAGACTTTTTTTTTTTTGAGACGGAGTTTCCCTCTTGTCCCCCAGGCTAGAGTGCAATGGCGCGATCTAGGCTCACTGCAACCTCTGCCTCCCAGGTTCAAGCGATTCTCCTGCCTCAGCCTCCTAAGTAACTGGGATTACAGCCACGCACCACCACGCCCGGCTAATTTTTGTATTTTTAGTAGAGACGGGGGTTTCACCATGTTGTCTAGGCTGGTCTTGAACTCCTCACCTCAAGTGATCTGCCCTTGAACTTCCAAAGTGCTGGGATTACAGGGGTGAGCCACCACGTCTGGCCTTCCTCCCAGACTTTTGACATGTCTATTTATTGACCCAAATGCAATGTTTTGCCCCAAGCAGCAGCAGCTTGTTTATTTGCCTTTCAATGTTTTCAAGGAATACACTGTGCATAGCTGCTTTTATGCCCTGAGAGTTCTGAGTTAGTCAAAACTAAGGCAATCCTCTTGTGTCATTCCTTCACTCTTATCCCCTCTGCAGACGAATCAAACAGATAAACACAATTTTCTGAGAACAAGGTCTGCTCTGCCCTCTCTGGGACCAGGTACTCACACTGAGAACACAGACTGCCATCTTTCAGACTCCTGCCACACTAAAGTTGGTGGGGGTGAGGCTAAGGGAAAATACCACAAAGCTTTCCTACTGCACTTAAGTCATCATTTTCTTGATTCAGCATTTGTTTGAATCTTTGACTATTTTCTAGAGACTGACAAAGTTGATTCTGACCATCTTTGCTCATTTTTTCATATTTCTATGCAAGAACAGGCCCTTGGAGCTCCTTACTCTTCAATTTTCTTTTTCTTTTTTCTTTTTGAGACAGGCTCTTGCTCTGTTGTCCAGAATGGACTGCAGTAGTACAATCATAGCTCACTGCAGTCTCGAACTCCTGGGCTCAAGTGATCCTCCCACCTTCAGACTCTCAAGTAGCTGAGACTATAGGCACATGCCACCATGCCCAGCTAATTTTCTTATTTTTATTTTTTGTAGAGACTGTCTTCCTATGTTGCCCAGGCTGGTCTCAAACTCATGGCCTCAAGTGATCCTTCTGCCTTGGCCTCCCAAAGCACTGGGATTATAGTTGTGAGCCACTATGCCTGGCTCAAAGAATATTTTTTGATTTAGAGGTTATTTTATTTATTTATTATTTATTTAGAGATTATTCATCATTTAGAGATTGCCATTTAACTTCAGTAAGAGTTCCATTTGCATCTGATGTTTTTTAGTTTTGGAGAAAGGAAATAGTGAAGAAATGGATTCATCTCCAATCCTTTGGACTAAAATTCAGATAATTTAAGCTCTAGTCTCAACTTCATTTAATTTGGAACTGCATGATGTGGTGTCAGATTTGGGTTCAAATCCAGTTGTCTTGCTGTGTAACCTTGGGAAATTTACCCAGCACTTGAGTTGTTTCTTCATTTGTGCAGTGGAGACAATAATACCAAGATGAAGATTTCATGAGATGTCTAGCATAGACAACTCTTTCTCAGACTGGATGCATTTAACAGTTGGATGCTGAATTTATAAGAGTATGGATTTCATAAAAAGAGCATAAATTTCATGATATGATGTATATTCCGGAAGATATAGGCCGGGCGCGGTGGCTCACGCCTGTAATCCCAGCACTTTGGGAAGCTGAGGTGGATCACTTGAGGTCAGGCATTTGAGACCAGCCTGGCCAACATGGTGAAACCCCGTCTCTACAAAAATACAAAAATTAGCCAGGCGTGGTGGTGTGTGCCTGTAATCCCAGCTGCTTGGGAGGCCGAGGCACGAGAATCGCTTGAACCCAGGAGGTGGAAGTTGTGGTGAGCGGATATTGTGCCACTGCACTCCAGCCTGGGTGACAGAGTGAGACTCCATCTCAAAAAAAAAAAAAAAAAAAGAAAAAGAAAAAAAAATAAATTTTCAAGTACCATGTAACTCTTTGAGTATGACTCAGGATATAAATGACTCAGACTTAAGATTTTTAAGTATTGAAATGATACTATATCAATAAAAAAATGTATCTTGGCAGTTTAGCACTTAAAAAAATCTAACTTGTGAACTAATCATCCTTTAAAAATTCATTCTACGGTCACTGAAGCCTTCTCCCTTCCCCTCCTACCTCAAGAAAGTGATCACAACCTTCTCTGTATCCATATTATAACACATATTTTTCCACTAGTGCAGAATATTGCATTTGTTTACATTTGTCTCTACCACCAGACAGAAAGAAACTGAGAGTAAATATCTATTTTTTCGTCTTCATTCAATCAGTGAAAATTTACTGAACATGGGCTGGGCACGGTGGCTCATGCCTGTAATCCCAGCAACTTGAGAGGCCGAGGTGGGCGGGCCACGGGGTCAGGAGTTTGAGACCAGCCTGGCCAACATGGTGAAACCCCATCTCTACTAAAAATACAAAAAATTAGCCGGGCGTGGTGGTGGGCACCTGTAATCCCAGCTACTCGGGAGGCTGAGGCAGGAGAATCACTTGAATCTGGGAAATGGAGGTTGCAGTGAGTCGAGACTGTGCCACTGCACTCCAGCCTGGGAAATAGAGCAAGACTCTATCTCAAAAAAAAAAAAAAAAAAAGAAAAGAAAAGAAAAGAAAAGAAAATTTACTGAACATGTACTATGCAGGCATGTTAGAAAGTGAGCATCTAAAGATGAGTAAGACAGTGCCCCTCTTCTCAAGTGGGAGACGGGACCATTACAAGATGGAGTAACAAAGATGAACATGTACTGAAGAACAGAGGGAGGATATAGAACCCAAACTGGGAAGTCAGGAAAGCTGCCCAGAAGTTATGTTTAAGGTATGTTTGAAGGGGGAGAAAGCATTTCATTAATTTTGTTTGAAAAACATTAAAAAAAAAAAAACCCTTCAGACCCTAAATTCTGTAGCTGCATCTGTTACAGGAAAGGGGTCCCAATCCAGACCCCAAGAGAGTGTTCTTGGATTTTGCTCAAGAAAGAATTCTGGGTGAGTCCGCAGTGCAAAGTAAAAGCAAGTTTATTAAGAAAGTAAAGTGGTGAAAGTACAACTACTACATAGACAGAGTAGGGTGCTCCTGAAAGTAAGAGGAGGAACGTGTCCATGCTAGGTACAATGCTTGTATATATGGGGAGATGTGTTCTGCTACAAGGGTTTGTGATAAAGGATTAATTTTCTTTATATATATGTGTGTATATATATGTGTGTGTGTATATATGTGTATATATATGTGTGTGTATATATGTATGTATATGTGTGTGTGTGTATATATATATATAGAGAGAGAGAGAGAGTGAGAGTGAGTTGGAGTCTTGCTCTGTTGTCTAGGCTGGAGTGTAGTGGCGCAATCTTAGTTCACTGCAACTTCCGCCTCCCAGGTCCAAGTGATTCTATTGTCTCAGCCTCCTGAGTAGCTGGGATTACAGGCACCCACCACCACATCCAGCTAATTTTTGTATTTTTAGTAGAGACAGGATTTCGCCTTGTTGGCCAGGCTGGTCTCAAACTCCTGACCTCAGGTGATCCGCCCACCTAGGCCTCACAAAGTGCTGGGATTACAGGCGTGAGCCACTGCGCCCGGACTTAATTACTGTATTTTGCAAGAATCAATATTATTATCTTTAAAGCAAAATTAGGAATGCCTTTGTTCTCCAGATATCGGGATATCTGGAAACTCCCAAGTCTGGGAGTGCTTAGTAAACATTACTAATTTGTTCCCTTAACCTTAAACATCTAGAGGCTAGGAATGCCTGAGTTTCTGGGAATGCAACCCAGCAAGCCCCAGCCTCATTTTCCTAGCCCTCATTCAAAATGGAGTCGCTCTGGTTCAAACACCTCTGACATATCTCCCCCCTCCCTTTACAAGAGGACCCTTAATCCTAAGGGTTGCAGAAGGACCAAGATCCATATTCTGTAACTTCAGGCTGAATAGGGGCAATGATATTCCTGCTTAAATGTTAGGGTCTCTTGCATTTAGGGTAGAGCGAAGCTCAGTCAGAGAGCATTGGTATGGTGAAGGTCATTCATAACTCCAAGTTCTGACAAAAGGTGATATCTGGAAGATTAATACGTGTCCAATTTAAGAAAGCATTGAATGAGCTTATCTTGCATTCCTACATAAAGAATACAACCGCAATATATTCCACAACAGCAAAGCAAAATAAGTAAAATCATTCCAAGTAAACTAAACAGGAAGGCTGTCCAAGAACTGAGCAGTTGTTGGAACCAAGCCGATATAGGGTCGACTGACATTACATCAATGGCAGATATGAGTGTCTAAAGCTTTCACAGCCTGGGTAATATTATGTGAATAGTCTGGAACATACACACATTTGGTTTTGATCAAAGCATAAAGTCCCCCTTGGGCTGCTGTTAAAATGTCCACATACCCAATAGTTTGATTATATAGAGAAGACAAAGTCTGTGCCCACTCAGTAAATAAGTTACTCGCTCCATGATTCCAACTTAAACCCAAAAGTAGAATGCCAATCCATATCTTTATGTTACCCATCCCTTTCATATCTTCTGAACAGTAGTCGGAGGTCACTGATTGGCTCACAGGAATAAACAGAATCAGTCTCTTGTGTTCTGTCGGCCTATGGGACTTCATAAGAGACAGGTTTAATTCAAGATAGGTGAACTCAGCTGCTTATTCCCAGAAGTTTAACTGCAGTTGGGGCACTAAGGAGAATTTGATAGGGTCCCTTCCATTTTGGGGAAAGTTGATCTGCTGGGGATCCTTCCTTCCAAGTTTATAATAGGACCCAATCTCCCGGCTGAGTTTTAACAAGATTCTCTTCCTTAGTGGGGGAAGGGAGTCTTCGATTTCCATATTCAAGGTGTGCCTTTTGCACTTGCCCTAAGTTGATCACACAATTCTGTAGCTTGAAAGTATCTATATCTATTAGGAAGTCAGTAGTTACGAAAAGCCTTCCATACATTATTTCAAAATGGCTGAGCTGCAGATTTCCCTTAGGGGCCATTCTAGCCTGTAATAAAGCTGTAGGTAATAAAGACAGCCAGGTTTCTGATGTTTCTTGGCATAGTTTAGAAAGAGTCCTTTTTAGGGTTTGATTAACACTTTCTACTTTCCCTAAGACTATGGTCTCCATGCCGAGTGAAGGCGGTACTGAATTCCTAGGGCTGAAGATATGTTTTGGGTAACTGTCGCTGTGAAAGATGGGCCATTATCGCTCTGTAAGCTCTTACGCAGCCCAAATCTAGGAATTATTCCCTTTAGTAGGAGTTCAGAAACGCCTCTGACACATCTACTGGTCACAAAGCCAGGAGCAGGCACGATAAGCTGGAAGGTTTAGACCAAATGGATCATTTCTGAGCCTGGATGTCGGATGGAGCCAACACATCTTAATGAGATTTTCCCAGCTGGAAGTCATTATTTAGGAAGCACTCATTGGAATATATTAATACAAATCATCACTGATGCTGTAGGCAAGGTTTAGCCGAATGTGCTTAAACTATCACCCAAAAGTGGCTGAAGACCATCTCTCAACTTTTCCACCATGAGTCATACTCTATTCAGCTGTATTCATATTTTCAGGACCCACATGAAAGAACAAATACAAGGTGGTGTCAGTGGAGATGTACCAATACAGGTTTGGGGCCCAGGCACTGGTATTAACAAATAATAATTGTAGTAAAATACACATAAAATTTACCATTCTTTTTATTTATTTATATATTTTTTAAGAGATGAGGATCTCACTACACTGCCCAGACTGGAGTGCAGCAGCTATACACATACAGGATCATAGCACACTGCAGCCTTGAACTTCTGGGCTCAAACGATCCTCCTGCCTCAGCCTCCTGAGTGGCTGGGACTAAGATGCAAACCACTGTGCTCAGCTTAATCATTTTAAAATATATATTCATTATTGTTAAGTGCATTCACATTGTTGTGCAACCAATTTCTAGAACTCTTTTCATCTTGCAAAACTGAAACTCTATACCCATTAAACAACACCCCAATCCCCCTTCTCCCCAGCCCCTGGCAACCACCTTTCTTCTTTCTGTTCCTATGAATTTGACTACTCTAGGTACCTAATATAAGTGGAATCATACAGTATTTGTTTTTGTGACTGGCTTATTTCACTTAGCATCATGTCCTCAAGGTTCTTCCATGTTGCAGAATGAACTTTCTTCCTCTTTAAGGCTGAATAATGTCCCATTGTAGGTATATACCACATTTTGTTTATCTGTTCATCCGTGGATGGACACTTGGGTTGCTTCTACTTTTTGGCTATTGTGAATAATGCTACTATGAACATGAGTGTACAAGTATCTTTTCAAGTCCCTGCTTTCAATTCCTTTGAACATATACCCTAAAGTGGAATTGGTGGACTCTATGGTAATTTGATTTTTAATTTTTTGAGGCAATTCTAGACTGTTTTCTATGGTGGCTACACCAATTTACATTTCCACCAACGGTACACAAGGGTTACAATTTCTTTATATCCTTGCCAACATTTTTTTTGTTTGTTTGTTTTAGAGACAGGTATTGCTCTGTTGCTCAGGCTGGAGTGCAGTGGCGTGATCATAGCTCACTGTAACCTCAAACTCCTGGGCCAAGCGATCCTCCTGCCTCAGCCTCCTGAGTAGCTAGGACTACAGGTGACTGGTTTTTTGATAGTAGCCATCCTAATGGTATGAGGTGGTATCTCATTCTGGTTTTGATTTGCATTTCCCTTATTATTAGTGACAGGCAGTCATAATTAACTCCTTTATTATGCACAGGCCAAGTTGAGAACACAGAGTTTAAGGGATGTACAAACACAAACTTCTGAACAGTAATCTCTAGGCGATTGTTCCTGCCTCTCTTCTAAATAAAAGTCTGTCTCTGTGATGATTTTTTTTATTATTATACTTTAAGTTCTGGGGTACATGTGCAGAACGCGCAGGTTTGTTACATAGGTATACATGTGCCATGGTGGTTTGCTGCACCCATCAACCCGTCATCTACATTAGGTATTTCTCCCAATGCTATCCCTCCCCCAACCCCTCACCCCCCAGCAGGCCCCGGTGTGTGATGTTCCCCTCCCTGTGTCCATGTGTTCTCATTGTTCAACTCCCACTTAGCAGTGAGAACATGCAGTGTTTGGTTTTCTGTTCCTGTGTTAGTTTGCTGAGAATGATGGTTTCCAGCTTCATCCATGTCCCTGCAAAGGACATGAACTGATCCTTTTTTATGGCTGCATAGTATTCCATGGTGTATATGTGCCACATTTTCCTTATCTAGTCTATCATTGATGGGCATTTGGGTTAGTTCCAAGTCTTTGCCATTTCTTTAAGAATGTTGAATATTGGCCCCCACTCTCTTCTGGCTTGTAGGGTTTCTGCTGAGAGATCCACTGTTAGTCTGATGGGCTTCCCTTTGTGGGTAACCCGACCTTTCTCTCTGGCTGCCCTTAACATTTTTTTCATTTCAACCTTGGTGAATCTGACAATTATGTTTCTTGGGGTTGCTCTTCTCGAGGAATATCTTTGTGGTGTTCTCTATATTTCCTGAATTTGAATGTTGGTCTGCCTTGCTAGGTTGGGGAAGTTCTCCTGGATAATATCTTGAAGAGTGTTTTCCAACTTGGTTCCATTCTCCCCGTCGCTTTCAGGTACACCAATCAAATGTAGATTTGGTCTTTTCACATAGTCCCATATTTCTTGGAGGCTTTGTTCATTTCTTTTCACTCTTTTTTTCTCTAATCTTGTCTTCCTGCTTTATTTCATTGAGTTGATCTTCAATCTCTGATATCCTTTCTTCCACTTGATCGATTCGGCTATTGATACTTGTGTATGCTTCATGAAGTTCCTGTGCTGTGTTTTTCAGCGCCATCAGGTCATTTATGTTCTTCTCTAAACATAAATACAACATGAAGCTCCTTTAGCTCGGAGGAGTTTGTCTTTACCTGCCTTCTGAAGCCTACTTCTGTCAATTCATCAAACTCATTCTCCGTCCAGTTTTGTTCCCTTGCTGGTGAGGAGTTGTGACCCTTTGGAAGAGAAGAGGTGTTCTGGTTTTTGGAGTTTTCAGCCTTTTTGCGCTGGTTTCTCTCCATCTTCGTGGATTTATCTACCTTCGGTCTTTGATGTTGGTGATGTTGATACTATTCCTGTTTGTTAGTTTTCCTTCTAACAGTCAGGCCCCTCTGCTGCAGGTCTGCTGGAGTCTGCTGGAGGTCCACTCCACACCCTGCTTGCCTGGGTATCACTAGAGGAGGCTCAGTTGGAAATGCAGGAATCACCTGCCTTCTGCGTTGATCTCGCTGGGAGCTGCAGACCAGAGCTGTTCCTATTTGGCCATCTTGCCAGCTACCTCCCTCTGTGATGACTGAGTGTCAACTTGATTGGATTGAAGGATGCAAAGTATTGTTCCTGAGTGTGTCTGTGAGGGTGTTGCCAAAGGAGATTTAACATTTGAGTCAGTGGACTGGGAGAGGTAGACCCACCCTCAATCTGGGTGGGCACCATTTAATCTGCTCTCAGCATGGCTAGGATAAATGCAGGCGGAACGTGGAAAGACTTCACTTGCTGAGTCTTCTGGCCTTCATCTTTCTCCCGTGCTGGATGCTTCCTGCCCTGGAACATTGGACTCCAAGTTCTTCAGCTTTTAGACTCTTGGACTTACACCAGTGGTTTGCCAGGAGCTGTTGGGCCTTCGGCCACACCGAAGGCTGCACTGTTGGCTTCCCCACTTTTGAGGTTTTGGGACATGGGCTGACTTCCTTGCTCCTCCTCAGCTTGCAGATGGTCTATTGTGGGACTTCGCCTTTTGATTGTGTGAGTCAATATTCCTTAATAAACTCCCCCACTCTTTTTTTTTTTTTTTTTTTTGAGACAGAGTCTTGCTCTGCTGCCCAGGCTGGAGTGCAATGGCTCAATCTTGGCTCACTGCAATCTCCGCCCCCCGGGTTCAAGCGATTTCTCCTGCCTCAGCCTCTCCTGTAATCCTGGGATTACAGGTGCATGCCACCATGCCCGGCTAATTTTTGTATTTTTAGTAGAGATAGGGTTTCATGTTGGCCAGGCTGGTGTTGAACTCCTGGCCTCAAAGTGATCCACCCACTTGGGCCTCCCAAAGTGCTGGGATTATAGGTGTGAGCCACTGTGCCCAGCCTAAACTCCCCTTCATATACACATCTATCCTATTAGTTCTGTTCCTCTACAGAACCCTAATATACAGTCTCCCCACCTAAATTCTACATTCACAGATTAAAGGTAGATTAAACTCCTTCCTCTTTAGGAAGTCTGCTCAGCTCCTCTAGGGAAATCTCTCTCTCATTAGGACTCTTCTCCAGGCAATCTAGATGTCAGGAAGCAAACCTAGTGAGCACAAACTACAGCAGGGGTGTCCAATCTTCTGGCTTCCCTGGGCCACATTGGAAGAATTGTCTTGGGCTACCCATTAAGTACCCTAACACTAATGATAGCTGATGGGCTAAAAAATAATCAGAAAAAAACTCATAATGTTTTAATTAAGTTTATGAATTTGTGTTGGGCTGCATTCAAAGCCATCCTGGGTTGCATGCGGCCCATGGGCTGAGGGTTGGATAAGCTTGAACTACAGTATGGTTTCCAAGCGTCAAGGGAGTAATTTGCATCTACACTTGAAATGTAATCCATAGGGAATTTGCAGCTAAAGAGGAAACCTGTAGGTACTTCCCTGGAATAAACTTCAGTAAATTGCTTCACTTTTCTATGGCAGGTTTCTTCAGCAGTCAAAATGAAGGGGCTGATTTAAATGGTATCTAAGATCCTTTTGGCTTTGACTTTCTGTTGTAACAGCATACTATTACAGTTGCTGATCTCATTCTTGCTCAGAATTGGGCAGAACCCATGTAAATCAAGACCTCGAGGTTGGGCGCGGTGGCTCACTCCTGTAATCCCAGCATTTTGGGAGGGCGAGACAGGTGGATCACCCGAGGTCAGGAGTTTGAGACCAGGCTTGTCAACATGGTGAAACCGTCTCTACTAAAAATACAAGAATTAGCCAGGCGTGGGGTGGTGTTTGCCTGTAGTCCAAGCTACTCGGGAGGCTGAGACATGAGAATCGCTTGAACTCGGGAGGTGGAGGCTGCAGGGAGCCGAGATTGCCCCACTGCACTTCAGCCTGCGTGACAATGCGAGACTGCGTCTCAAAAAAAAAAAAATCTTATTAACATATGGGTTCCGATATGGTTTGGATCTTTGTCCCCACCCAAATCTCACGTTCAATTGTAATTCCCAATGATGGAGGTGGGGCCTGGTGGGAAATGACTGGATGGGGGCAGGTTTCTCATGAATGGTTTAGTACCATCCCTTTGGTACTGTCCTTGTGATAGTGAGTTATCGCGAGATCTGGTCATTGAAAAGTGTCTGCCAACTCCCCTCACCTTTTTGCTCCTGCTCTGGCCATGTGATGTGCTTGCTCCCCCTTTGCCTTCCACCATGATTGTAAGTTTCCTGAAGCTTCCCCAAAAGCTGAGCAGATGCCAGCATCATGTTTCCTGTACACCCTGCAGAACTGTGAGCCAATTAAACCTCTTTTCTTTATAAAGTACCCAATCTCAGGTATTTCTTTAGAGCAATGCAATAACGGTCTAATAGAGTTCCAAGTGCATCCTTTCCAAAAAATATTTCAATGCATATTAAGCAATTTGTAGTTATAATGGCCTCCACCAGCATTTCCTAGCTTCTTCAGAAATCTGACTGCAGAATATCCTCCATTTCAATTGATTTTAATTCAGCACCAAATCTGGATATAAAAATATTATCTATTCAAATTTAAGTGCATCTTTAATATTTTGCATAATAGAACAATAGAGCAGGAAGGACTACTAAGGTAATTTAGCCTAATACACTTTACTTAGTATAAAGAAATATGTTCAGAGAGGTTCAGGTGACACCTATGGTCATATAGTTAGACAGAAACAGAGCAAGGGCTAAAAGCCAGATCTCTTTACTTCCTGTGCAGTGTTTCTACTCCATGTTTGCAAAAGAGCTGCTGTCTAGTTTCATATAACTTATAATCTGCCAGGGTAACTTTCAAATCAAGTTTTTATTATCAAAAGGAAATTACCTAGTCAAGGAATGTTCACTGTCTGGGACGAAAGGTAGATCAATTGTTGCAAACAGTCATTTATCTACTCATCTTGGTTGTTTTGACTCACCTAATGGGTAACAACATTAAGAATGAGGGACCATGTATAGATTCCTAGAATAATATATCCCAATCCAGAAATACTTAAAGAAACTGTCCCATCAAACTGTCCTTAGGACAATATGAAATTTAAATTAATTTAATTATAACTTCAAAATGTAAAATCCTAATTTTACAATTCTAGTTTAGTGTTTAAAACTCACTCCTCTTTAGATGGTAATCAAAAACTCAGAATTTAGATTGTAAAAGTTTATTGATATGGTCAAAAAGCAAACAGCCAGACATTTGGTTATCTTTGCCACTACAATGTGTCATTCTGAACTGTATCTTAAAAATGCATAACAAATGATATTTAAACCATTACCAGAAAAGTAAATGAAGAGTCTACTTAAGGCACTTCATATGAAAGCTAATTCAAAATTTTCACAAAAGTCACACTATTTTATAAGTGTAGTAAATTACCTTCTACACATTTTAGCCAGAATGCTGCCTTTCTCCTTACAGAAGAATGTGCTCTTAAAGGGAGAAAAAGCAAATACAAAAAATTGTCATTCTGTCAATGTTCATGACAAATTATCTGGAACTATACAGATTACATGGCAGTAGTATTCCCGTGGTCAATCTGTACAAATCAGGGCATCTTCATACAAGTCTCATAAGAACCACAGCATAGATTTGGCCTGAGACAAGTACAAGAATAGCAGGTAAGGAATTCAGAATCTCACAATTTACAAGTGAGTAATTAACAAAAACTGGCTGCTCCATTAAAAAGTAAAAGGTCAACCATATCCCCTCATCCATGAAATCTAGTAACGAAAAACAAAAAACCCACATAAAATATTTCTTCTGAGGCTACTATATCCATCTCTTTCTGCAAACCACATGGCAGGGTTATTAGAAGGTAAATGGCAGGTGGCAGTCATAGTATCTTTTTAATGTAATACTTGTAAGATTTCCTTAAAATTATTTTTTCACAATTACAATTATCCTATTTCCACAATAGTGGCATTTCAGGTTACTCTTCATAACTATGGGGGAGGTTATAGTTAGATATAATGATAACCATGAAAACATTCTTCACAGAAATTTGGTTAGCACATATGGTTATTTCTACTGACAGAAACCAAAAGACAAAATAAAAAAAATCCCTTCAAATTGGTACTTTGTTTCTCCACCTAAAGGAAGAGAATAAAGACTAAAATAACAGCAAAACATAGAACAGCTTTCGAGAAACGCTTAATTTCTATATACAGGCATCAGCTCAATATTTTATGATTTTTCTTTCCCATTCTAAGGGAGTCCTTTTCTTTCTTACTTTTTTTTTTTTTTTTGAGATGGAGTCTCGCTCTGTTGCCAGGCTGGAGTGCAGTGGTGTGATCTTGGCTCACTGAAACCTCCATCTCCTGAGTTCAAGTGATTCTCGTGCCTCAGCCTCCTGTGTAGCTGGGATTACAGGCTCCTGCCACCACACCCAGCTAATTTTTATATTTTTAGTAGAGACGGGGTTTCACCATGTTGGCCAGGATGGTCTCGAACTCCTGACCTCGTGATCTGCCTGCCTTGGCCTCCCAAAGTGCTGAGATTACAGGCGTAAGTCACTGCGCCTGGCCAGGGAGTCCTTTTCTAACTGAGCCTATTTTTCTCTTAGGTACAAATGGAATAAGTGACAAACTCTAATTTGTAGAAACATTTTAGGCCATGTATAAGTTACACTGATTTTAGCACTAAGCTATATTTTTATCACAGATGGGTCACCTTAAAAGAAAACTAAGGAGATGGAATGAATCTGAAATCTTTCTAAATACAAGGTAGTTAACACCATACTCAAGCAGAAATTATAATCCTGTATTTAGAGATACTTTTTTTTGAGACAGAGTCTCACTCTATCACTCAGGCTGGAGCGCAGTAGCGTGATCTCGGCTCACTGCAATCTCCGCCTCCCAGGTATTAAGCAAGTCTCGTGCCTCAGCCTCCCAAGTAGCTAGGATTATAGGCATGAGCCACCAAGCCCAGCTAATTTTCATATTTTTAGTAGAGACGGGGTTTTGCCTTGTTGGCCAGGCTGGTCTCTAACTCCTGGCCTCAAGCAATCCACCTGCCTCGGACTCCCAATAGATGTCTTTTCATGTTCACAGCTATCGAGAAGCATAGACATTGCTGGTGTGGTAGCTCACACATGTCATCCTCGCACTTTGGGAGACTGAGGCGGGCGGATCACTTGAGCCCAGGAGTTCAAGACCAGCCTGGACAACTTGGCGAAACCCTGTCTCTACTAAAAACACAAAAATTAGCCTGGCATGGCGGTGCACACCTGTAAATCCCAGCTACTTGGGAAGCTGTGACAGGAGAATCGCTTAAACCTGGGAGGCAGAGTTTGCAGTCAGCCGAGCTCACGCCACTGCACTCCAGCCTGTGTGACACAGCGAGACCGTCTCAAAAAAACAACAAAACAAAAACAATCATAGACAGCACTGTATTTCAGTAGGAAATATGCAAGGAGGAGGAGAAACAACTGTCTTGCTGAGGGCTAGACGTGTGCTCTGAAGAATGGTGTTCCATTTTCAGAAGACCACATGACACACATAATTTCTCTACTCAAAAGGAAAGATGCGTAAAGTATACACATCCACACAAAGATGAAGAAGCTAAGAATGAATTCCTAATGTAGTTATCTGTAACAGGCATATGTGGGAACACCTGGTCAGGACTTACTTTCCCCATCTTTGGATAAGGCAATATAAAATCAGATGACCAAGTTAACTAAAGTAGTTTTGAGCTTTGTTCTAACTAAAACAAAGTAGTAGTTTTACAATTTTTATAATATACTTAATTGTACTAAATTAAATGTTCCATAAAGTTCACTGGGAAGAGAAGGTTAAGAGGATAATTATTTTCAAATACCTCAGATTTTGACAGAGGATTGCTTGTTAAGGCACTACACATCTTCTTTGGTTAAATGATTAACTATTTAAATCACTTGAAAAAAAGAGGTAATACAAAATATACAAGTTGCATTCTTCTTTTCAAACACACACGATTTTCGTTTTTCAATTTCCAGTACTCCAGTGTCTATATATCTCTGGGACCTTTTTAACTCATCAGAAAGCTGAAACAAAAATATATTCCAATCTATTAGTCTCTGAAAGAAAAGTAGGATTTACTTTTAATCAATAAGCAGTATGTTGGTTTTAACAGATAAAAGAGCATTTTGGTACGTACATGATAATCTTTGGGTATCAATAACAAAAAGTGAGAAACACTGAGAGACCCGTTAGTCTTATGACAAAAGGAAATAGAATAACCTCAAGTTAAAATATCTCCTGAATAGAGACACTAATTAATAATTTTATTTTTTCATTTTTTTAGAGATGGGGTCTCACTGTGTTGCCCAGTCTGGTCTGGGACTCCCACGCTCAAGTGATCATTCTGTCTTAGCCTTCTGAGTAGCTGGGACTACAGGCACATGACACTGCTATTGAATCAACTCTGCTGATCAAATAATTAACAGAAGTCCCAGCAAAATTACCTTCACATCTCAATTAGTATTCTGTAGAGGATAAATTATTATAATTATTATTTTTGAGATGGGGTCTCACTCTATTACTCAGACTGGAGTGCAGTGGCACTCTATTTCTTAAAAAAAAGTAGAGGCGAGAAGAAGTTTTTAACATTAAAAAAAATCATTTCTTCTTCAAAAGGAAGTATAATATGCAGACAAGGAGCTATGTGAATAGATAATGGCATAAAATGTTCTAATCATTATGTATTTCTAGAATACATATGAGATTTCTAGAATAAATTAGGTATGGCAAAATAAATCTAAAAGATGTTCCTGAGAAATCACATACTAATATTGTCCATTATACTATAATTAATTTTTATATGGGAACATATCTGAATTACAGCTGTTTGGGCATGGTGGCTGGCTAATGCCTATAATCCCAGCCCTCTGGGAGGCTGAGCAGGAGACTCGCTTGATGCCAGAAGTTCAAGACCAGCCTGGGTAACATAGCAAGACCCTGTCTTTACAAAAAATAAAAATATTAGCTGGGTGTGGTCATGTGCAGCTGTAGTCCTAGCCTCTTGGGAAGCTGAGGTGAAATGATGGCTTGAGCTCAGGAGTTCAAGGTTACAATGAGCTATGAACACGCCATTACACTTCAGCCTGAGTGACAGAGTGAGACCCTGTCTCTGAAAATAAATGAATAGGCCGGGCTCAGTGGCTCATGCCTATAATCCCAGCACTTTGGGAGGATGAGGCGGGTGGATCACTTGAGGTCAGGAGTCCAAGACCTGATCAACATGGTGAAACCCCGTTTCTACTAAAAATACAAAATTAGCCGGGCATGCTGGCACACGCCTGTAATCGCAACTACTTGGGAGGCTGAGGCAGGAGAATCGCTTGAACCCGGGAGGCAGAGGTTGCAGTGAGCCGAGATTGCGCCATTGCACTCCAGTCTGGGCAACAAGAGCAAAACTCCATCTCAAAAATAAATAAATAAATAAATAAATAATAAATAAATAGATGAATAAATAAAAATAAAGCCTATATCTTTCCTTTATAAGCTAAAATAGTTTGGAAGCAAAGCAAAAAGAAGGATATTATAAAGCAATATCAACTCTAATCATTCCAGGTATTGGTAATCACTGTATAAACAAAAAATAAGAATCATACCTGTATGGGTAGCCATGATATTTAGATCTAAAAATAGAGAGCATCCAACTGAAGAATAATACAACAAGTCCAATACCAGCCACACACATTACTGCAGAAAAATAAAAGGAGAGTAAAATGAGCAGGTTGAGTATAATAAATAACCATGGCAGTCTATACTTTCTTTTTTTATTTTATTTTATTTTATTTTATTTTATTTTATTTTATTTTATTTTATTTTATTTTATTTTTGAGACGGAGTCTCGCTCTTTCGCCCAGGCCGGAGTGCAGCGGCGCGATCTCGGCTCACTGCAAGCTCCGCCTCCTGGGTTCATGCCATTCTCCTACCTCAGCCTCCAGGGTAGCTGGGACTACAGGCGCCCGCCACTGCGCCCAGCTAATTTTTTGTATTTTTAGTAGAGACGGGGTTTCACCTTGTTGGCCAGGATGGTCTCGATCTCCTGACCTCATGATCCGCCTGCCTCAGCCTCCCAAAGTGCTGGGATTACAGGCTTGAGCCACCATGCCCGGCCTGGCAGTCTATACTTTCAGAGAGTGAAAAGGAAGGGGTATACATTATTGATAAATCTCAACTTTTCAACAATTTTCATCCCTATTTCTTAATCTTCAGGAATCTGCCTTCCCCTTTAATTTGCTCCATTACAATGTAATAGAGTAACTCCTTTACATAATTATGCAATTCAAATGTATGAAATAATGAATTCCTTTAAAGTCATCACACTGAAAGGTTTACTGTTAGAAACACTGTTACAATCGACAAGAAAATCACCCATTTGGTTTTTTGGTTTTCTTTTTTTTTTTTTTTTGAGTCAGGGTCTTGCTCTGTTGCCCAGGCTGAAGTGCAGTGGCACAATCACAGCTCACTGCAGTCTCAACCTCCTGGGCTCAAGCAATCCTCCCACTACAGCCTCTTGAGTAGCTGGGACTACAGATGTGTGCCACCATGCCTGGCTAATTTTTTAATTTTTTTGAGAAGACGGTGTCTCACTACATTGCCCAGGCTGGTGTTGATCTCCTGGGCTCAAGTGATCTTCCGCTTCAGCCTCCCAAAGAGCTGGGATTACAGGCATGAGCCACGGTGCCCGGCTTACTTATTTATTGAACTTTAAAACCCCTAAAAGTGGCCTTGTAGTATTGATAAACATTAACTTAGACATCTGATGACTTCATTGTGATAGCCTCACTTGAAAGTACTTTATTCATGCACAGATAACTACACAGCCTTATATATGTAACTCAATAAACATGGATTTCTTATTTGAATGAGAAAAAAAATCTGATCCCTAGCCCTAGATTCATAGCTCTCTCCACTAATCCCACATGTCATGTCCTACATTAGCACAGCAGTTATTAAAGTGAACTACAAATACTAATCCCCAAATGCGCAAGTATGGATTGTCATGATGTGAAGCTCTTTCAATCCCCGGACTAAAAATGGCTAAGAACTATAGAGATAGGGATGTAGGGAAGCATGTGTCCAACAGCAAAGGAAGCTCTAGGGCAGGGGTGTCCAATCTTTTGGCTTCCCAGGGCCGTACTGGAAGAAGAGCTGTCCTGGGCCACAAATAAAATACACTAACACTAATGATAGCTGATAAGCTGAAAAAAAAAAAAATTGCAGAAAAAAACCCTCATGATGTTTTAAGGAAGTTGACAAGTTTGTGTTGGGCCGCATGTGGCCCACAGACTGGACAAGTTTGTTCTAGGGTAACATACTTAGTGACTGATAAGAAAATCAATTTTCGGCCGGGCGCTGTGGCTCATGCCTGTAACCCCAGCACTCTGGGAGGCCAAGGCGGGTGGATCACGAGGTCAGGAGTTCAAGACCAGCCTGGCCAAGATGATGAAGCCCCATCTCTACTAAAAACTACAAAAAAAATTAGCCAGGCGTGGCGGCAGGCACCTGTAATCCCAGCTACTCGGGAGGCTGAGGCAGGATAATCGCTTGGCAAAGCTTGCAGTGAACCAAGATCGCGCCACTGCACTCCAGCCTAGGCGAAAAAGCAAGCCTCTGTCTCAAAAAAAAAAAAAAAAAAAAAAAAAAAGAAAAGAAAAGAAAATCAACTTTCAGTTTTGTTTTACTTATGGAACAATTCTTTTGCCTTTTCTAATTGTTACACAATATGACTAGGGCTTAATGTGTAAATGTTAAACAATATTTCTCTTTAATTCTTTTCTAATTTACAAAAAAGAAGTGCAGCTTGCTGCCAATGCTCATTTAATTTTATATAATCACGCTGTTTGAGGCTGAAGTAAATCTGACTGATTTTCAATGTGAAAATAAAACAAAAACTGTTGTTGGAGTTATTACTAAACAGAACTAACATCAGAATCGTCTGAATCATCACAATAGTCTATTTCAGAAAAATTGAATTCATCAAATGAATCTTTGGCCAACAACTGTTCGAGAATGGTGTAAACATTACACGTGGAATGCTACATTTTCTAGGATTTGACATTTTCAGTGATCAAGAATTACTATATTTTGTAAATGGAAATACCACTATAATGGAAATAAAAATGGACTGATGTCTAGTATATTAGTATATTATTCTATTTACAGCACTCTGTTTTCAGTAGTGGTAATGGATCACTTGAACCCAGTGATATCTAACATATCAATTTTGTTTCCAAAGTTGATATACTAGAGTGGATGTGAAAACAATAATTAAAGCACGATATTTTGTGGCAGAGTTATCTCAGCGTAAACACTGCAGCCACAAGCACTGCCAGTGAGTATTCTCAGGGCAAATGGGAAAAGGGTTAACTTAACCAAAGAAGTGAAAGAACTCTATGATGAAAACTATAAAACACTGCTGAAAGAAACTGAAGAGGACATCGAAAAATGGAAAGATGTTCCACGTTCATGGATTGGAAGAATGGATGTTGTTAAAATGTCCATACTATCTAAAGCAATCTATAGATTCAATGCAATCCTTATTAAAATACCAATGACAACTTCACAGAAATAGAAAAAACAAAATTTATATGAAATCACAAAAGACCAATGATAGTCAAAGCTATCCTAAGCAAAAAGAACAAAACTGGAGGAATCATATTACTTGACTTCAAATTATACTATAGAGTTATAGTAACCAAAACAGCATAGTACTGGTGTAAAAACAGACATACAGACCAGTGGGACAGAAGACAGAACTCAGAAACAAACCCATACACCTACAGTGAACTCATTTTCAACAAAGGTGCCAAGAACATCCACTGGAGAAAACACAGTCTCTTCAATAAAAGGTGCCAGGAGAACTGGATATCCATAGGCAGAACAAAACTAGACCCCTATCTCTTGCCATATAGGAAAATCAAGTCAAAGTGGATTAAAGACTTAAATCTAAGACTGTACACCATATATATATATATGCATATATGTATATATATGCATATATATACATGTGTGTATATATATGCATATATGTATATATATGCATATATATACATGTGTGTATATATGCATATATGTATATATATGCATATATATATATACATGTGTGTATATATATGCATATATATATACACACACACACATAAATAAAAGACAAGAGTCTTGCTCTGTTGCTCAGGCTGGAGTGCAGTGGCATGATCTTGGCTCACTGCAACCTCCACTTCCTGGGCCAAGCAATCCTCCTGCCTCAGCCTCCCAAGTAGCTGGGACTACAGGCACACACCACCACACCTGGCTAATTTTTGTATTTTTAGTAGAGACAGGGTTTCACCATGTTGGCCAGGCTGGTCTCGAACTCCTGGCCTCAAGTGATCTGCCCTTCTTGGCCTCCCAAAGCATTGGGATTACAGGTGTGAGTCACTGTGCCTGGCCTAAGACTGCAAACTATTAATATGAAACAACTATAAGAAAACAATGGGGAAACTCTCCAGGACATTAGTCTGGGCAAAAATTTCTTGAGTAATACCCCAGAAGCACAGGCAACCAAAGCAAAAATAGACAAATGAGATCACATCAAGTTTAAAAGCTTCTGCAGAGCAAAGGATACAATCAACAAAGTGAGGAGTCAATCCACAGAATGGGAGAAAATATTTGCACAGTACCCATGTGACAAGGGGTTAATAACCAGAATATAAAAGGAGCTCAAACAACTCTACAGGAAAAAAACTAATGATCTGATCGAAAAAACATAAAATCTTTTTTTTTTTTTTTTGAGACGGAGTCTTGCTCTGTCGCCCAGGCTGGAGTGCAGTGGTGTGATCTCAGCTCACTGCAAGCTCCACCTCCCGGGTTCACGCCATTCTCCTGCCTCAGCCTCCCAAGTAGCTGGGACTACAGGTGCCTGCCACCATGCCCAGCTAATTTTTTTGTATTTTTTTTCAGTAGAGATGGGGTTTCACTGTGTTAGCCAGGATGGTCTCGATCTCCTGACCTCATGATCCACCTGCCTCGGCCTCCCAAAGTGCTGGGATTACAGGCGTGAGCCACCGCAAAAAAAGAAAATATTTCAATAGACGTTTCTCAAAAGAAGACATACAAATGGCAAGTAGGCATAAAAAAACTACTCAACATCAATGATCATCAGAGAAATGCAAATAAAAATTGCAATGAGATATCTATCATCTCACCCCAGCTAAAATGGCTTATATCCAAAAGACAAGCAATAATAAATGCTGGCGAGGATGTGGAAAAAAGGGAACCCTTGTACACTGTTGTACACTGTTGGGGGGAATGTAAGTTAGTATAACCACTAAGAAGAACAGTTTGGAGGTTCCTCAAAAAACTAAAAATTGAACCACCATATGATCCAGCAATCCCACTGCTTGGGTATACACCCACAGAAAAATAAATCAGTATACCGAAGAGATATCTGTACTCCCATGTTTGTTGTAGCACTGTTCCCAATAGCCAACATTTGGAAGCAACCTAAATGTCCATCAACAGATGAATGGATAAAGAAAACGTGGTACATATATACAATGGAGTACTATTCAGTCATTAAAAAAATAAGATCCTGTCACTTGCAACAACATGGAACTGGAAATCATTATTATTATTGTTGAGATGGAGTCTCGCTCTGTCACCCAGGCTGGAGTGCAGTGGCGCCAGCTTGGCTCACTTCAACCTCTGCCTTCCAGGTTCAAACAATTCTCCTGCCTCAGCCTCCTGAGTAGCTGGGATTACAGGTGTGCACCACTACGCCCAGCTAATTTTTGTATTTTAGTAGATACGGGGTTTTACCACGTTGGCCAGGGTAGTCTAGAACTTTCTGACCTCAAATAATCTGCCCCACTTGGTCTCCCAAAGTGCTGGGATTACAGGAGTGAGCCACCATGCCCAGCCTTGGAAGTCATTAAGTGAAACAATTCAGGTACAGAAAAAAAAATCATATGTTCTCACTTATTTGTGGGATCAAAAAATGAAAACAATTGAACTCATGGACACAGAGAGTAGAAGGATGGTTACCAGAGGCTGGGAACGGTAGTTGGGGAATGCCGGGGGAAGTACGGATGGCTAATGGGTACCAAAAAAAATAGAATAAATAAGACCTACTATTTGATAGCACAACAGGATAACTATAGTCAATAATAATTTAATTGTACATTTTAAAATAACTAAAAAAGTATAATTGGATTGTTTATGACACAAAGGGTAAATACTTGAAGGATGGATACTGCAGTCTCCGTGATGTGACTATTACACATTGCATGCCTATATATCAAAACATCTCATGTATCCCATAAATATATACACCTACTATGTACCCACAAAAATTAAAAATAAAATACTTTTCCTGAGTATTAACACATGCTGAGTGTAGACAAGTTAGCCTTTTATTCTCTAAGAAAATGTACTCATAGACTGCGTGTGATGGCTCACGCCTGTAAATCACAGCATTTGGGGAGGCCAAGGCAGAAGGATTGCTTGAGCCCAGGAGTTCAAGACCAGCCTGGACAATGTAGCGAGGCCCCATCTCTACAAAAAATTACCCAGGTGTGGCAGTGCATGCCTGTAGTCCCACCTACTAGGAAGGCTGAGGTGGGAGGATCACCTGAGCCAGGGAGGTCAAGGCTGCAGTGAGTTATGATCTCTCCACAGCACTCCAGCCTGGGCGACAGAGTGAGACCCTGTCTCAGATTTAAAAAAAAGAAAAAGAAAATGTGCACATACGTATATACAGCATCACTCTGTATATATTTGTATCCTCCTCTTTTCATACATCTAAAAGTGCTTAGAGCAGTTCCCAGAACATGCTAAAGAAACGTCTATTAATTTGTGATCATTTTGTTAGGTAAGAAACTTAGGAGATCAAATTGTGACTATTTCAGTATATGTTGCCAAAATGTTTAACAATTTAAGTTCATGTCAGTAATGTACTTTGATGGCCTTTTCCCAAGAATAAACACTGAAATAGGCAATTTTTAAACAGTCAGGCAAAGTCTACAGCCATAGCACCCTGAACGCGCCTGATCTCGTAAAAAGTCAGGCAGTGAAAGGACATATACTGACTGGATTAAAAACTATAAAATGCTTACTTTGGCAGCATATATACTAAAACTGGAATCATACAGAGAAGATTAGCATGGCCCCTGTGCAAGGATGACATGCAAATTCGTGAAGTGTTCCATATTTTTTTAAAAAAATTTTAAAAACTGATACATTAATTATTTTTCTAACACGTAAAAATTCATTTTTTTAGAGATTGAGTCTCGCTCTGCTGCCCAGACTGAAGTGCAGTGGTGTGATCATAGCTCACTGCAGCCTCTAACTCCTGGCCTCAAGCCATCCTCCTGTCCCAGCCTCACAAGTAGCTGGGACTACAAGTGCGTTGTACCACATCCAGCTAAAAAAAATCTATTTTAATTGAGCAAAACAAGTATTTCTCAAATTTTAAGTTCAGTATCTTCATCTTTTTTCTAGAAGTTAAAGTAAATATTAGACTTTATTTAGGTAGGGTAATTTTTATGACATTTAACTTTTTTATTTATTTATTTATTTTGAGATGAAGTCTCACTCCGTCGCCCAGGCTGGAGTGCAGTAGCGCGATCTCGGCTCACTGCAACTTCCGCCTCCTGGGTTCAAGTGATTCTCATGCCTCAAACTCCCAAGTAGCTGGGATTACAGGCACGTGACACCATGCCTGGCTAATTTTTGCTTTTTTAGAGACGGGGTTTCGCCATGTTGGCCAGGCTAGTCTCGAACTCCTGACCTCAGGTGATCCACCTGCCTTGGCTTCCCAAGTGTTGGGATTTACAGGTGTGAGTCACCACGCCTGGTTGACATTTAACTTTTTAATCATAAAAGGAAAATCTTGACTTATTTCATGAAAGTAAAACCAAATTACATTGTTAGATTCTCTCTGCAACAGATAACAATGTGTGAATATTCTAATATATAAAAAGTTCATGCAGGCTGGGCATGGTGGCTCACGCCTGTAATCTTAGCACTTTGGGAGGCCACAGTGGGAAAGGTTGCTTGAGCACAGGAGATACAGACCAACCTCGGCAATAAAGTGAGACCCCATCTCTACAAAAAATAAAATTAAATTAACTGGGAGTGGTGGCATGAGCCTGTGGTCATAGCTACCTGGGAAGCTGAGGCAGTAGGACTGCTGGAGCCCAGGAGTTCGAGGCTACAGTGAGTCATTATTGTGGCACTGCACTCCAGCCTGGGCAACAGAGTAAGGCCTGGCCTTAAAAAAAAAAAAAAAATGTCCAGCTGAGCACGGTGGCTCACGCCTATAATCCCAGAACTTTAGGAGGCTGAGGCAGGCACATCATGAGGTCAGGAGTTCGAGACCAGCCTGGCCAACATGGTGAAATCCCGTCTCTACTAAAAATACAAAAATTAGCTGGGCGTGGTGACGTGCACCTGTAATCCCAGCTACATGGGAGGCTGAGGCAGGAGAATTGCTTAAACCCAGGAGGCGGAGGTTGCAGTAAGCCAAGATCACACCACTGCACTCCAGTCTGGGAGACAGAGCAAGACTCCGTCTCGAAAAAAAAAAAAAAAAATTCCTTGCAAACCAAATAAAAGGGCTAAGACTCTAACAGATAAATGGCAAAAGACAAAAGGACAATTTATAGAAGGAAAAACATAAACACAAATGACTAGTAAACATTTAGGAAAATATTTGACCTTATAAAAATAAAAGGAGTACAAAATAATACATTTCCACCTTATCTGATTGGCAAATATATATGTATCTATAAAACAGATACATATTAATGAGATTAATGCTGATAAAATTACAATGAAATGGCTGGGCACAGTGGTTCATGTCTGTAACCCCAGCACTTTGGGAGGCCGAGGCGGGCGGATCACGACGTCAGGAGATCAAGACCATCCTGGCTAACACAGTGAAACCTCATCTCTACTAAAAATACAAAAAAATTAGCCAGGCATGGTGGCGGGTGCCTGTAGTCCTAGCTACTCGGGAGACTGAGGCAGGAGAATGGGGTGAACCTGGGAGGCAGAGCTTGCAGTGAGCTGAGATCGCGCCACCGCACTCCAGCCTGGGCGACAGAGCAAGACTCTGTCTTAACAACAACAACAACAACAAAACCAATGAAACAAACATTCTTTTTTTTTTTTTCTTTAAGATGAAGTTTCACTCTTGTTGCCCAGGCTGGAATGCAATGGCACGATCTCGGCTCACTGCAACCTCTGCCTCCCAGGTTCAAGCGATTCTCCTGCCTCAGCCTCTCAACTAGCTGGGATAACAGGCATGCGCCACAACGCCTGGCTAATTTTTTTTTTTTTTTGAGATGGAGTCTCGCTTTGTCACCCAGGCTGGAGTGCAGTGGCGTGATCTCGGCTCGCTGCAACCTCTACCTCCTGGGTTCAAGCAATTCTCCTGCCTCAGCTGCCTAAGTAGCTGAGATTACACACGCACGCCACCATGCCCAGCTAATTTTTGTATTTTTAGTAGAGACGGGGGTTTCACCACGTTGGCCAGGCTGGTCTCAAACTCCTGACCTTGTGATCCACCTGCCTTGGCCTCCCAAAGTGCTGGGATTACAGGCGTGAGCCACCGCGTCTGGCCAAATTTTTGTACTTTTAGTAGAGACAGGGTTTCATCATGTTCATCAGGCTTGATGGCCTCGAACTCCTGACCTCAAGTGATCCACCCGCCTCGGTCTCCCAAAGTGCCAGGATTACTGGCATAAGCCACTGCGCCCGGCCAAAACAAACATTCTTAAATACCAGTAGTAGAAATCTAAATTATTTTAACTTGCCAAAATAATCTGTAATGATTAAAACATCAAGAGAATTGAAAATACTCAGACAGAGGACCACACAGTTATTCTTCTTCTAGGAATCTACCTTAAGGAAACAATATTAAATAAGAATGATGGCTGGGCGTGGTGGCTCATGCCTGTAATCCTAGCACTTCAGGAGGCTGAGGCAAGTGGATCACCTGAGGTCAGGAGTTCAAGACCAGCCTGGCCAACATGGTGAAACCCCGTCTCTACTAAAAATACAAAAAAAAAAAAGAAAAAAAAAACCCCAAAAAACAAAAAAACTAGCCGGGCGTGGTGGTGGGCGCCTGTAATCCCAGCTACTCAGGAGGCTGAGGCAGGAGAATCACTTGAACCTGGGAGGCAGAGGATGCAGTGAGCCGAGATTGCACCACTGCACTCCAGCCTGGGTAGTAAGAGCAAAACTCTGTCTCAAAAAAAAAAAATGATGCTTAATGTATCATGATAGTTACTGAAGAATAATTATAGTTAAAATTAGGAAAAAACTAAACATTGAAAAAAATCGGAATAGTTAAATTATAATATAGAGTATAAGTCAGCCAGGCACGGCAGCTCACGCCTGTAATCCCAACACTTTGGGAGGCTGAGGTGGGAAGATCACTTGAGTCCAGGGGTTTGAGGCCAGCCTGGGCAAAGTGACAAAACCCCATCTCTACAAAAAGTACAAAATATAAGCTGGGCATGGTGGCACATGCCTGTAGTCCCAGCTACTAGGGAAGTTGAGGTGTGAGGACAGCTTGAGCCTAGGGGCGGAGGTTGCAGTGAGCTATGATTATGCTACTGCACTCCAGCCTGAGTGACAGAGTGAGACCCTATCTTAAAGAAAACAAACAATAACAGAGTATAAGTTTAAAATTATGTATATAGAAAAAGTTATTAGTTATTTAACTCCAGTTTAAAAAGGGGGTGTGAAGTGTCAAAATTTTATATATACAGTTTTTAAGGTTTTTATAAGTGGAAAGAAATATATTACAATTTAAAAATAATTAGTTTTTCAGTGGTGGAATGTTTCATGCTCCTGTTTTTTTACATTTTCTATAATGAGCATATATTAATTTTAAAATAGTAAAGGAGTTTAATAACAGATATGACATTTAAAGAAAAAAATAGTAAAGGGGTAAAATAACCTACTTATCCTATAAGTAAGAGGAAAAGTGATTAAGAGATCACTCTTTTTCCATAGTACAGGCAGCACTGTTACATTTTGAGTAAGGTGACTTACTCTTTCGCTTTCCAATATCCATGTCAGAGGTAGCAGCTTCACATAAAAGCACCATTCCTAAGGTAACTCCACCATCTAAGAAAAATTGTTTAAGGAGAAATTCGCACAGACAAAAAAGACATACCATTTTACTATTTCCAGTTTCTCATGAAGAAAATTAAAATGAATATATAAACCTTCAACTCTTCATTATAAAAAACCAAAATAAGGAATCTTGTATCTATACGGCATGACAATTATTTACTATGAAGATACAAAAAATTAAAATTGGAAGATTACTTCATTTGTGCAAAGAAAAATTGATATTTTAAACAAATGTCCCACCATAACTTACAGATGAAATATGAGTTTTCCCGAAATTGTACTTTGAAATAACCTGTCTGGACATTCAGTTATTGCCCTGACCTCAAACACATTTAAAAATATTAAATGGCTTTTTTTTTTTTTTGAGACAGGGTCTGGCTCTGTCACCCAGGCTGGAGTGCAGTGACGCAATCTCAGCTCACTACAACCTCCACCTCCCAGGCTCAAGCCACCCTCCCACCTCAGCCTCCTGAGTAGCTGCAACTACAGGTGCTCACCACCACGCCCAGTTAAATTCTGTAATTTTTTTTTTTTTTTTTTTGTAGAGATGGGGTTTTGCCACGTTGCACACGCTGGTCTTGAACTCTTGACCTCAAGCAATCCACCTGCCTCGGCCTCCCAAAGTGCTGGGATTATAGGTGTGAATGACCACGCCCAGCCCTAAATAGCCATTTTGAATATTTCACCCCACCTCCCTAAAGAACACATTTGAAATATATATCATTTAGGGAGAACAGTAACTACTTTTTATTTGAAAATTAATTTCTGAAAAATCTCTCCTGGCCTAGTTTAGCGGTTCACACCTGTAATCCTAACAGTTTGGGAGGCCGAGGCGGGCCGATTGCTTAAGTCTGGGAGTTCAAAACCAGCCTGGGCAACATGGTGAGACCCTGTTTCTACCAAAAAATACAAAAAATTGGCCAGGCTGGTGGCACATACCTGTAGTCCTAGCTACTTGGGAGGCTGAAGTAGGAGGATCACTTGAGCCTGGAAGGTTGAGGCTGCAGTTAGCCGTGATCATACCACTGCACTCTAGCCTGCATGATAGAACTAGACTGTGTCAAAAAAAAAATTCTCCATATTTTCAATAATACTTTATTTTTTAAATTTTTCCCATGCCAAGATGCCAAAAGTACATCAATAATTAGCCTTTAAAGCACAAATTACTACTAACCTATCTAATTTTATCCTATTCTAATAAAAAAGAAAAATCCTGGCCGTGCGTGGTGGCTCACGCCTGTACTCCCAGCACTTTGAGAGGCAGAGGTAGGCGGATCACCTTAAGTCAGGAGTTCAAGACCAGCCTGGCCAACATGGCAAAAACCCGTTTCTACTAAAAATACAAAAATTAGCCGGGCGTGGTGGCAGGCGCCTGTAATCGCAGCTACTTGGGAGGCTGAGGCAGGATAATCACTTGAACCCGGGAGGCAGAGGTTGCAGTGAGCCGAGATGGCACTACTGCACTCCAGCCTGGGTGACAGAACAAGACTCCATCTCAAAAAAAAAAGAAAAAGAAAAAGAAAAATCCCACATGTGCCATGACCACACTTTTATTCAGCTTAATAGGAGCTGCATAAATACAAAATACAACAACCCATACAAATAGGTAACAGATGGCATGGTTGAATATTAAAATAAGCAAGTTCAAATTTTAAAGCAAATAGAATGTGTTCTAGTAGAAAAGAGAGACAGATTCACCCTGCAGTTTAGTGAATACTAACAGCAGTAAAACACTCCCAAATCAATTATACATATGTACATACATGTTGTATGCTACCGCATGTGGGTATCATTAAGCGGAAAGGGAAAAATATGTGCCCTTTAGATGAGGCCTGAATTTATAATTGGCTCTAAAATTTGACTTGTCATCCCTTCATTACCATCTTGCATTCTTTTTTAAATTTTTTAATTTAATTTATTTATTTGAGACAGGGTCTCACTCTGTCACCCAGGGTGGAGTGCAATGGCATAATCACAACTCACTGCAACCTCCACCTCCCAGGCTCAAGAGATCCTCCTGCCTCAGCCTCCTGAGTATCTAGGACTACAGGTGCATACCACGCCACGTTCGTTTTGTTGATTTTTTTGTAGAAACGGGGTCTCACTATGTTGCCCAGGCTGGTCTCAAACTCCTGGACTCAAGCAATTCTCCAGCCTGGGCCTCCCAAAGTGCTGGAATTACAGGCGTGAACCAATGTGCCTGTGCCCCATCTTGCATTCTTTCTTCAATAGCCTCTTGTTAGGGATGATGCCCATTCATCATGTTTTCAGTTGTTCAGCCAAGTCTCTTCTCCAGCAATTTTTTCTGAGTTCTTTATCTGCAGGTTTGTGCAAAGATTGATCATTTCGTTTTTTAAAATTTTTATTTATTATACTTTAAGTTTTAGGGTACATGTGCACATCATGCAGGTTTGTTACACATGTATACATGTCCCATGTTGCTGTGCTGCACCCATTAACTCGTCATTTAACATTAGGTATATCTCCTAATGCTATCCCTCCCCCAGTATTTTTTTGCCAGTATTTTATTGAGGATTTTTGCATCAATGTTCATCAGGAATATTTGGTCTAAAATTCTCTTTTTTTGTTGTGTGTCTGCCAGGCTTTGGTATCAGGATGATGCTGGCCTCATAAAATGAGTCAAGGAGGATTCCCTCTTTTTCTATTGATTGGAATAGTTTCAGAAGGAATGGTACCAGCTCCTCCTTGTACCTCTGGTAGAATTTGGCTGTGAATCCATCTGGTCCTGGACTTTTTTTTGGTTGGTAAGCTATTAATTATTGCCTCAATTTCAGAGCCTGTTATTGGTCTATTCAGAGATTCAACTTCTTCCTGGTTTAGACATGAGAGGGTGTATGTGTCCAGGAATTTATCAATTTCTTCTAGATTTTCTAGTTTATTTGTGTAGAGGTGTTTATAGTGTTCTCTGATGGTAGTTTGTATTTCTGTGGGATCGGTGATGATATCCCCTTTATCATTTTTTATTGCATCTATTTGATTCTTCTCTCTTTTCTTCTTTATTAGTCTTGCTAGCGGTCTATCAATTTTGTTGATCTTTTCAAAAACCAGCTCCAGGATTCACTGATTTTTTTGAAGGGTTTTTTGTGTCTATTTCCTTCAGTTCTGATCTGATCTTAGTTATTTCTTGCCTTCTGCTAGCTTTTGAATGTGTTTGCTCTTGCTTCTCTATTTCTTTTAATTGTGATGTTAGGGTGTCAATTTTAGATCTTTCCTGCTTTCTCTTGTGGGCATTTAGTGCTATAAATTTCCCTCTACACACTGGTTTAAATGTGTCCCAGAGATTCTGGTATGTTGTGTCTTTGTTCTCGGTTTCAAAGAACATCTTTATTTCTGCCTTCATTTTGTTATGTACCCAGTAGTCATTCAGGAGCAGGCTGTTCAGTTTCCATGTAGTTGAGTGGTTCTGAGTGAGTTTCTTAATCCTGAGTTCTAGTTTGATTGCACCGTGGTCTGAGAGACAGTTTGTTATAATTTCTGTTCTTTTACTTTTGCTGAGGAGTGCTTTACTTCCAACTATGTGGTCAATTTTGGAATAGGTGTTGTGTGGTGCTGCAAAGAATGTATATTCTGTTGATTTGGGGTGGAGAGTTCTGTAGATGTCTATTAGGTCCGCTTGGTGCAGAGCTGAGTTCAATTCCTGGATATCCTTGTTAACCTTCTGTCTCGTGGATCTGTCTAATGTTGACAGTGGGGTGTTAAAGTCTCCCATTATTATTGTGTGGGAGTCTAAGTCTCTTTGTATGTCTCTAAGGACTCGCTTTATGAATCTGGGTGCTCCTGTATTGGGTGCATATATATTTAGGATAGTTAGCTCTTCTTGTTGAATTGATCCCTTTACCATTATATAATGGCCTTCTTTGTCTCTTTTGATCTTTTTTGGTTTAAAGTCTGTTTTATCAGAGACTAGGATTGCAACCCCTGCCTTTGTTTTCCATTTGCTTGGTAGATCTTCCTCCATCCCTTTATTTTGAGCCTATGTGTGTCTCTGCACGTGAGATGGGTCTCCTGAATACAGCACACTGATGGGTCTTGATTCTTTATCCAATTTGCCAGTCTGTGTCTTTTAATTGGAGCATTTAGCCCACTTACATTTAAGGTTAATATTGTTATGTGTGAATTTGATCCTGTCATTATGTTAGCTGGTTATTTTGCTCGTTAGTTGATGCAGTTTCTTCCTAGCATCAATGGTCTTTACAATTTGGCATGTTTTTGCAGTGGCTGGTGCCGGTTGTTCCTTTCCATGTTTAGCGCTTCCTTCAGGAGCTCTTGTCGGGCAGGCCTGGTGGTGACAAAATCTCTCAGCATTTGCTTGTCTGTAAAGGATTTTATTTCTCCTTAACTTATGAAGCTTAGTTTGGCTGGATATGAAATTCTGGGTTGAAAATTCTTTTCTTTAAGAATGTTGAATTTGGCCCCCACTCTCTTCTGGCTTGTAGAGTTTCTGCTGAGAGATCAGCTGTTAGTCTGATGGGCTTCCCTTTGTGGGTAACCCGGCCTTTCTCTCTGGCTGCCCTTAACATTTTTTCCTTCATTTCAACTTTGGTGAATCTGACAATTATGTCTTGGAGTTGCTCTTCTCGAGGAATATCTTTGTGGCGTTCTCTGTATCTCCTGAATTTGAATGTTCGCCTGCCTTGCTAGATTGGGGAAGTTCTCCTGGATAATATCCTGCAGTGTTTTCCAACTTGGTTCCATTCTCTTTGTCACTTTCAGGTACACCAATCAGACGTAGATTTGGTCTTTTCACATAGTCCCATATTTCTTGGAGGCTTTGTTCGTTTCTTTTTATTCTTTTTTCTCTAAACTTCTCTTCTTGCTTCATTTCATTCATTTGATCTTCCATCACTGATACCCTTTCTTCCAGCTGATCGAATCGGCTACTGAGGCTTCTGCATTCATCACGTAGCTCTCGTGCCGTGGTTTTCAGCTCCATCAGGTCCTTTAAGGACTTCTTTGCATTGGTTATTCTAGTTAGCCATTCGTCTAACCTTTTTTCAAGGTTTTTAACTTCTTTGCCATGGGTTCGAACTTCCTCCTTTAGCTCGGAGAAGTTTGATCATCTGAAGCCTTCTTCTCTCAATTCATCAAAGTCATTCTCTGTCCAGGTTTGTTTCTTTGCTGGTGAGGAGCTGCATTCCTTTGGAGGAGGAGAGGCACTCTGATTTTTAGAATTTTCAGTTTTTCTCTTCTGTTTTTTCCCCATCTTTGTGGTTTTATCTACCTTTGGTCTTTGATGATGGTGACATACAGATGAGGTTTTGGTATGGATGTCCTTTCTGTTTGTTAGTTTTCCTTCTAACAGTCAGCACCCTCAGCTGCAGGTCTGTTGGAGTTTGCTGGAGGTTCCCTCCAGACCCTGTTGGCCTGGGTATCAACAGTGGAGGTTGCAGAACAGCAGATATTGGTGAACAGCAAATGTTGCTGCCTGATTGTTCCTCTGGAAGTTTTGTTTCAGAGGAGTACCCGGCTGTGTGAGGTGTCAGTCTGTCCCTACTGGGGGATGCCTCCCAGTTAGGCTACTTGGGGGTCAGGGACCCACTTAAGGAGGCAGTCTGTCCGTTCTCAGATCTCAAGCTGCATGCTGGGAGAACCACTACTCTCTTCAAAGCTGTCAGACAGGGACATTTAAGTCTGCAGAGGTTTCTGCTGCCTTTTGTTTGGCTATGCCCTGCTCCCAGACCTGGAGTCTACAGAGGCAAGCAGGCCTCCTTGAGCTGCGGTGGGCTCCACCCAGTTCGAGCTTCCCGGCCACTTTGCTTACCTACTCAAGCCTCGGCAATGGTGGGTGCCCCTCCCCCAGCCTCGCTGCCGCCCTGCAGTTTGATCTCAGACTGCTGTGCTAGCAATGAGCGAGGCTCCGTGGGCGTAGGACCCTCCAAGCCAGGTGTGGGATATAATCTCCTGGTGTGCTGTTTGCTAAGACCATCAGAAAAGCACAGTATTAGGGTGGGAGTGACCCGATTTTCCAGGTGCCATCTGTCACCCCTTTCCTTGGCTAGGAAAGGGAATTCCCTGACCCCTTGCGCTTCCCGGGTGGGGCGATGCCTCGCCCTGCTTCGGTTCACGCTCAGTGCGCTGCATCCACTGTCCTGCACCCACTGTCTGACAATCCCCAGTGAGATGAACCCAGTACCTCAGTTGGAAATGCAGAAATCACCCGTCTTCTGTGTTGCTCACGCTGGGAGCTGTAGACTGGAGCTGTTCCTATTAGGCCATCTTGGCTGCACAAAGGTCTTTTGTTAATGTGATCATTTCTTTCTTTTTTTTTTTTTTTTTTTGAGATGGAGTTTTGCTCTGCCACTCAGGCTGGAGTGCAGTGGAGCCATCTTGACTCACTGCAACCTCTGCCTCCCGGGTTCAAGAAATTCTCCTGCCTCCGTCTCCTGAGTAAGCTGGGATTACAGGCACATGCCACCACGCCTGGCTAATTTTTGTATTTTGAGTAGAGACGGGGTTTACCCATGTTGGCTAGGCTGGTCTCGAACTCCTGATCTCAGGTGATTCACTCACCTCAGCCTCTCAAAGTGCTGGGGTTACAGGCATGAGCCACCATGCCCGGCCAAAGATTGATCATTTCTACAGGCTTTGATTTCTGGGTACTCTCTGATTAATGATTGAGACTTGCTCTGGGGAAAGCTTGTCTTTTTATCATGGTTTATGTGCTTTTGCTTTGAATGAGCTTTCCTTCTTGCTAAATACCTCAAGGTCTTTTGTGTACTCTTCTTAGCTGTCAAGAGCTATGATGCAGTTCTATGTATACTGTTTTATTTCATTTACTGATCTTTAAATTTTTACTAACACTGCCTACTATATGGCAGGCACTATAAACTGTTGGAAATAAAAAGTTGAACAAAATAAAGATCCTACCATGAAGAAGATTACACTCTAGTGAGGAATACAAACAATGAAATACATAAATTACACAGTCCTGATTAAATGTTACTCCAGGAGAACTGAGCAGAAATAGAGGAGACATTATTCCATAACATACAACAACTAGGCTATTAAAAGCTAGTAGAAGGCCAGGCGTGGTGGCTCACGCTTGTGGCCAAGACGGGTGGATCACCTAAGGTCAGGAGTTCGAGACCAGCCTGGGCAACATGGATATGATATATCCATTATATAAACATTAAAAATATTGACTACTTTTCTTTTTCTTCGTATTTTCAGATTTCTTTGTAATTTTTATGTATTTTTATAAATATAAAGGCCATACAACATAGAAAATGCTTATAATATATTAAGATAGCAAACTCCATACACAACATGTCTACAAGTATAAAAAATGAACACCCTTACCATGAAACATTCATATAGAAATGAATGCAAGATAATATGCAAAAGTAAATGTAGTTTATACTATTAGGGTTTCAGGTTATAGGTGAACATTTTCCAGACTGCTACTTTATTTTAAAAATTCAGGAGGCCAAGGTACGAGGATTGTTTGAGCCCAGGAGATTGAGACCAGCCTGGACGACAGGGCGAGACTCCATCTCTAGAAAAAAATACAAAAATTAGCTGGGTGTGGTAGTGCTCACCTATAGTCCCAGCTACTCAGGAGGCTGACGTGGGAGGACTGCTTGATTCTGGGAGGTCGAGGTTACAGTGAGCTATGGTGACCCCACTGTACTCAAGCCTGGGCAACACAAGATTTCATCTCTAAAAAAATAAACATAAAAAAAATCCATATATATTTATTCTGGGATTCCATTTATTGTGTTTTCTTTTTTTTTTTTTTTATTTTGAGACAAAGTCTGGCTCTATCAGCCAGGCTGGAGCACAGTGGTGTGATCTCAGCTCACTGCAACCTCTACCTCCTGGGCTCAAGCCACCCTCCTGCCTCAGCCTCCCAAGTAGCTGGGACCACAGGCACGCAGCACCACACCCAGTTAATTTATGTACTTTTTTTAGTAGAGAAAGGGTTTTGTCATGTTGGCCAGGCTGGTCTCGAACTCCTGGCCTCAGGTGATCTGCCTGCCTCAGCCTCCCAAAGTGCTGGTATTATAGGCATGAGCCACCGCACCCAGCCCTGTAGGATTCCATTTATGTAAGTTAAAAAAAAATAGGTAAAATAAACCCATAGTGTTAGCAGTCAGGATAGCAGTTATTTCTGGGTGGGAAGGTGGCAATCAGGAGGAATGATGATGGAAAATGCTCTGAGATGTGGGTAAAATTTTATTTATTGATGTGAGTTCTGGTTACATAAGTGTGTTAATTCTGTGAAAATTCATCAAACTGGACTGGGCACCGTGGATCACGCCTGTAATCCTTACACTTTGGGAGGCCGAGGCAGGCGGATCAGTTGAGCTCAGGAGTTCGAAACCAGCCTCGCCAACATGATGAAACCCCATCTCTACTAAAAATATCAAAAAAACTTAGCCAGGCATGGTGGCAGGTGCCTGTAATTCCAGCTACTCCAGAGGCTGAAGCAAGAGAATCGCCTGAACCTGGGAGGTGGAGGTTGTAATGAGCTGGGATCACACCATTGAACTCTAGCCTGGGCAACAGAGCAAGACTCCATCTCAAAAACAAAAAACAAAAAACCAAAAAAAAAAAAAAAAAAGGAAATTCATCAAACTGTAAACTTTTGTAAACTTTTCTGCATAACTGCAACACTTAAAATGTAATTTTAAAGGTTGCTTAGATCAGGCAACTGATTATATAGTCTGCTTTATTAATCATGCAATAAACTGTACATTAAACTAATAATAAATATGTGAATATTTTCCAAAATCATAACTACTACTTAGAGGTGGCCTCAGTCTATTAATTATTATCAACCTGGAAGCTGTAAACAATGTTACCGGTCTTGAGGTTTCATATTTACTTTAAAAGAAAGTGGGGGCCGGGTGAGGTGGCTCACGCCTGAAATCCTAGCACTTTGGGAGGCTGAGATGGGTGGATCACCTGAGGTCAGGAGTTCAAGACCAGCCTGGCCAACCTGGTGAAACCCTGTCTCTACTAAAAATAAAGAAATTAGCCAGGTGAGGTGGTGCACACTTGTAATTCCAGCTACTCAGGAGGCTGAGGCAGGAGGATCGCTTGAACCCAGGAGGTGGAGGTTGCAGTGAACCAAGATGGTGCCACTGCACTCCAGTCTGGGTGACAGAGCGAGACTCCACTCAAAAAAAAAAGGGGGGGGGGGTGGGGAGTGGTTAGGCCTTTTCTAATATTCCTTACCTCTGACAAAATTATTCATTTTCTCACTATTTCTGGTACACAGCACTTAAGTCACTGTCTTATAATCTGTATACATGTCTGACTCTGAAAAAAGTTCACTTTTTGCATCCTAATAACCAAACACAAGACATTCTATATCCCAACAGGATTGTAATCCGTTCCAAATGTATACTAAACCTTAGGCTGATGCTCAGTCTTAAAGCAGAGGTAAAATGACAATTTTCTAATTTCTTAAACTTCTTATATATTTAAAAGTTTAAGACAAAGCTAAAAGACCAACAAACCCCAAATCAACTAATTAATACTTTACAATTTTAATTGCTCTTTTGCTCCATTATTCAATTTCAAAGTACTAGTGAGAAGAACTGATTCAAGATACTGAAAATTTTCTAAGGTATAATAATTTGTTAATCCATCAAACCATACTTTTCTTTTCTGTTCTTTTTTTTTTTTTTTCTTTGAGACAGAGTCTCGCTCTGTTGCCCAGGCTGGAGTGCAGTGGCAGTCTCGGCTTACTGCAACCTCCACCTCCTGGGTTCAAGCAATTCTCATGCCTCAGCCTCCTGAGTAGTTGGAATTATAGGTGCACACTACCGTTTCTGGCTAATTTTTGTATTTCTTGTTGAGATGAGGTTTCGCTATGTTGGCCAGGCTGAATCCATCAAACCATAAATGAACATTGTCTTTCTTTTTTTTTCTTTTGAGACAAGAGTCTCACCCTGTCATCCAGGCTGGAGTGCAGTGGCACCATCTTGGCTCACTGCAACCTCTACCTCCTGGGTTCAAGCGATTCTCCTGCCTCAGCCTCCAGAGTAGCTGGGATTACAGGCGCCCGTCACCATGCCTGGCTGTTTTTTTTTTGAGACAGAGTCTCACTCTGTTGCCCAGGATGGAGTCCAGTGGTACCATCTCGGCTCACTGCAACCTCTGCCTCCCAGGTTCAAGCAATTCTCCGGCCTCAGCCTCCCCAGTAGCTGGGATTACAGGCGTGCACCACCATGCCTGGCTAATTTTTGTATTTTTAGTAGAGACAGGGTTTCACCATATTGGCCGGGCTGGTCTCGAACTCCTGATCTCAGGTGATCCGCCTGCCTCAGCCTCCCAAAGTGCTGGGATTACAGGTGTGAGGCAGCACGCCTGGCCGTCTGGCTAAGTTTTGTATTTTTGGTAGAGACAGACTTTCCCCATGTTGGCCAGGCTGGCCGCGAACTCCTGACCTCAAATGATCCACCTGCCTCTGCCTCCCAGAGTGCTGGGATTACAGGTGTGAGCCACCACACCCAGCCCATAAACGAACATTTTCAACTAAAATTTTAGGATTAAAAAAAATAAAGTTTGAGTAATATTTTTCTTTCAGTCTTCCCCCGCCCCGCCGCCCGCCCCCTGAGATGGAGTTTTGCTCTAATTGCCCACGCTGGAGAGTAATCACACGATCTCTGCTCACTGCAACCCCTGCCTCCTGGGTTCAAGAGATTCTCCTGCCTCAGCCTCCTGAGTAGCAGGGATTACAGGCACCCGCCACCACGCTCAGCTAATTTTTTTTTGTATTTTTAGTAGAGATGGGGTTTCACCATGTTGGCCAGGCTGGTCTCGAACTCCTGATCTCAGGTGATCTACCCGCCTTGGCCTCCCAAAGTGCTGGGATTACAGGCATGAGCCACCACGCCTGGCCTCAGTCTTCTTTCTTCTCATATGGACTAGGTGTATATTGTTAATCTTTCAGCCCACCATTTCATGGTTGAATAGATTAATTCTCCCAGGTTTGGGCTGGATGTGAAGCAGTAAGTATATTTTCCATAGTGCATAAGAACATTTTCCCAAATATCCTTCAATTAAAATCAGTTAAAATCAAAAGCTTAATATTTTTTTAGAATGCTTTCCTTAAAATCTCTCTAATCATCAACATAGTATAATAAAACTGGGAAAGACATACACAAACATTTACTAAAGATAGAATTTTCAGTGGTTTTGAATTTTTTTCTTTATACTTATTTGTATTCTAAATTTTCTTTAATTTATATTCCTTTTGCAATCAGAAAAAAATATATTTAAGTTTCGTTTTTTTTCCCTTTTTTATTAGAGACAGGGTCTCACTGTGTCGTCCAGGCTGGAGTGCAGTGGTGTGATATCAGCTCACTGTTGCCTTGACCTCCTGGGCTCAATTGATCCTCCCACCTCAGCCTCCCTGGTAGCTGGGACCACAGGCATGCATCACCATACTTGGCTAATTTTTTGTGTGTATTTTTTTGTAGAGATGGGGTTTTGCCATGTTGCCCAGGCTGGTCTCAAACTCCTGGGCTCAAGCAATCTACCCATCACAGCCTCCAAAAGTGCTAGGATTACAGGTGTGAGCCACCATGCCCAGCTGATTCTTGTATATCAATGTCAGGACACCCTGGCTGAGAAGCACAATTCCAGGAACATTACATTTGTTCACCTTGTTGATTTGTTCCAGAGTCAGTGCTTATGTACTCAGGTGGGTAAACTATGTTTAGTCATATTATGAAATTTAGATTCTTACTTATCTGACATCGCTTTTACCTGTCTTTGCAGCTTACAGAGGCATCCACTTTTAGATATAAGAAAATAAAAATTAGCTTGGGCCAAGAAAGTAAAAATATTCCTTGTCATTCAAGAGAATGGAACAACACAAACATAAAGCAGCTGCAAAGTCCACAGGAAGTATTTTTCCCTAGCACACACTTCAGCTGTAAAATGTCAAAATATCCCCATCTTTGAGTAATTACTGTTTTCTTACTGAGGAATATTGGTCTTTAAATAGACTTCTTGCAATTATATGAGTAAAAATGAAATATTCTTGCTTGGCAGATCTAAGTCACTCAATTTACACGTATAATTTCTAAGTAGCCTCAATTTACAACCAAGGTATAGAGCTTCAAAGAAGAAGTTTTTGAAGACAAAAATCCCACATTTATGTTAACTTTGTAGTTTCCAAGCAAACAGAACCCTGGGTCTGATTGACAGTTCAGACCTGATGTTGACCCCTTTACACAGCCTTACACTGCTTTTAGCCTATCAAAACAATGCTTTGTTTAAATTTCACATAAACTCCACTATTCTCCCAAATCCTATTACAACTCTATCTTTTCTTTGTTAAGATGTTCCATGGTTCTTCTAATGTACAGTATTCCTCATATTAATGAGCCAATAAACCTGGCCCTATCAGACTACAGATTTGTCCCTAGTAGTCTTTGGTTTATTGGGCTGGAGAGGATGATACAGTAATGATTTTCAAAGGATATTGTGACTTGCATTAAGAGAACAGCCCCAGCCAAATGCTGTAGAGAGAATACTAGACTGTGAGAAAACAGACAAAATACAGCAAGAAAGACTTATTGTAAAAGGATACTAAACAGAAGAACAATGTGTGTTTCAGCTACAAACTGGGCTTGACTGCTTCCATGGATATAATTCTAGGAGGGAAAAAAGACAAAATGGAATCTTTAAGTATACATTAAATGTTGGTATGCTAACCCTAAAACGGGGTATTTTAAACTATGAAATTATTAATTCACCTGATAAACCATGTGACATACTCCGGGTCTGTGGCATTCATCAGTAAGTCTGGTTACTATAAGGCTATTTTTGTATTATCTATTCTCGATTTGTCTTTTCATTGTACTAATACTATGTTTATTTTTGAGACAGGGTCTTGCTCTGTTGCCCAGGCTGGAGTGCAGCGGCATGATCATAGCTCATTGCAATCCCAAAGTCCTGGCTCCGGTGATCTTCCTGCCTCAGCATCCCAAGTAGATGGGACTACAAGTATGCACCACCATGCCTGCTCAGCTAATTTTTAAATTTTCATTAGAAATGACATATTGCTATGTTGGCCAGGCTGGTCTCAAACTCCTGGGCTCAAGCAATCCTCCCACCTCAGCCTCCCAAATGCTTGAATACTGTACTTATATTTTCAACAACAGAATATGTCAGAAAACTAGTTGTTGTTGTTGTTTTTTCTTTTCTTTTTTGTTTTTCATAGAGATGACGTCTCACTATGCTGCCCAAGTTGGTCTTGAACTCCTGGCCTCAAGTGGTCCTCCTGCCTCAGCCTCCCAAAGTGCCAGGATTACAGGTATTAGTCACCACACCTGGCCCCATTTTTTTTTTAAGGAGATGGATCTTGCTATGTTGTCCAGGCTGGGCTAGAACTCCTGGATTCAAGTCATCCTCCTGCCTCAGCCTCCCAAGTAGCTGGGACTACAAATGCAAAACACTGCACCTGGGTGAGAAAACTAGTATTTAAGTGTACAAGACCATGAGGTACAATAATGTAGGCTCCATGAAGACAGGGATCATGTTTTTCTTATCACTATATTTAATAATAATTAGCACAGTGCTTAGAAACAGTGGATGCTCAGGTACTTGATCAATTTTTCTATTTAGTTGAAGGCTGTCTTTCATTCTTAGCTAGCTTGGTTAGAAGGATTCACCAAATGGGAAAAGGAACTTCCCACTTTTAAGAGCACTGCGGCCGGGTGCGGTGGCTCATGCCTGCAGGCCTGTATTCCCAGCACTTTGGGAGGCTGAGGCAGGCGCATCACCTGAGGTAGGGAGTTTGAGACCAGCCTGACCAACATGGAGAAACCCTGTCTCTACTAAAAATACAAAATTAGCTGGGCGTGGTGGCGCATGCCTGTAATCCCAGCTACTCAGGAGGCTGAGGCAGGAGAATCACTTGAACCAGGGAGGTGGAGGTTGCAGTGAGCCGAGATCACGCCATTGCACTCCAGCCTGGGCAACAAGAGCAAATCTCCGTTTCGAAAAAAAGAAGAAAAAAAAAAAGAGCACTGCATGGTCTTATCAGTGATGGAAGCTTGTTAACACAAGAGAGATTGAAAAGTGAAGACTAAATCCAGCTCCTTCATATGCTGGCACTGTTCTCACAGGGTAATAATCATTGAGTTAACTTTGGTCTACAAAGGAAAGAAATCCCAGACTTCCCTTACCACATGTCCCGTGTGGGGATTCTTATGGGCATATGGTGGTCCTCTTATATGGTTCCACATTTGACCAGATGTCATAGCAAGCACAAAACACTAGGAAACAAAAAAATAATAAAATATTCATGGTCAAACTGTTCTTGTCTTGATTAGATAACAGGAATATGAAAATGTGCATCTGTTTAGTTAAGACATAGAATTTTTTGCAGATAAATGATTTATTAAGGCTTATATTTCATCCCAAGGATCACAATTCGATAATACTTCAAAAGGAAAACACTATTTTTTTTTTTTGACATGGAGTCTCGCTCTTTTGCCCAGACTAGAGTGTAGTGGCGCGATCTCGGCTCACTGCAACCTCCGCCTCCCAGGTTTAAGCAATTCTCCTGCCTCAGCTTCCTGAGTAGCTGGGACTATAGAAGCATGGAACCACGCCCAGCTAATTTTGTATTTTTAGTAGAGACAGGGTTTCACCATATTGGCCAGGTTGATCTTGGTCTCTTGACCTCGTCATCTGCCCACCTCGGCCTCCCAAAGATATGGGATTATAGGTGTGAGCCACTGCGCCTGGCCAGGAAAACACTATTTAAAAATTATAACTATGCAGACACAAGTTTCAAAATTGAATACTGAAAAGGCTTTTTAGAATAAAATTTTCAGGCTGGGCATGGTGGCTCATACCTGTAACCCCAGCACTTTGGGAGGCTGAGGTGGGCGGGTCACCTGAGGTCAGGAGTTCAAGACCAGCCTGGCCAACATGGTGAAACCCCGTCTCTCCTAAAAATACAAAAAAATTAGCTGGGCGTGGTGGCACACGCCTGTAATCCCAGCTACTCGAGAGGCTGAGGCAGGAGAATCATTTGAGCCCAGGAAGCAGAGGTTGCAGTGAGCCAAGATGGTGCCACTGCACTCCAGTCTGGGTGACAGACCAAGACTCCGCCTCAAAGAAAAAAAAAAAAGAATAATATTTTCAGAACAACTAGAGATTTTCATAGAGATGACAGTCTGTCATTTAGGTTGAATAAAAGGCAGGTACAATCAGTTCCTTGAAGTTCTGGCCATCCTTATGAGATAATGAATGAAACAAACTGATTTTAAGACAGAAAATTAAAATATATAAAACTATTTTCCTCAGGTAAGAAATAAAATGCTACTTCTCACATAAATAAAAGCTTACCTAAAAATACACTATTAGGAATTTTATTCAAATAATTTTTTGTCTTCTGAAATTCACTCACCAAAGCTGCAAAAGCCCATCCAGTTTTATTAAAGAGAAATTCCATATTACTTCTTCGAAGATACACAAGTCCACCAATAACAGCCAAAAGCAATCCCAACATAAGGGGACCAGCATAATTTGGGGGTCTAATCACTCTAATCTAATGGAAAGGAGAGAAAAACATGTTAAAGTATAAAATTTTTTTACTAATTATATGGGTCAAAATAAAATCTGAAATGAAAGCAATCAAAATTATTGTGGTTACTTTCGGAAAAATGATCCTTTTTATGTTATCCCAATCAAACTAGTCTATAATATAACCTAAAATAGGATAGAATAGGTACAATATTCTATTTAACCACAACATAACATCTTTTAGATTAAGAAGGATTTGCCAAGTACAACTAGATAATCCATGGACTTAAGGTCGAAAGAGTGGTTTCCATGCTGAATTCAATAGGGTAATAGAGAGTGTTCTGTAATTTCACTCATTCATCAAGATGATTCTGTTTAATGCTACTTATGAAGTGACTGCCAAACTAGTACCACCTCAGTGATATGGGGACAAGACTAATTAGGGCCTCCCAGTAAGATTCAAAGGGGATAATGGCCAAGAAACAGTCTACATAGTTGGGAAACTTACATTGACATCAGTTCTGTCGGCGATCCACCGGGCAATCTGCTCAGCTGAAAAACCCCGCACCTGTAACTCATATGTATCACCCCGTTTGGGTTTCCCTTTTGCAGGAAAGTTGATGAAAGTTGGAGCTGAATTCATGTTTAGCTGAATAAAAACGAGCCATGAAAATATACATTATCAGGAAAATAATCTTAATTGCAGTTAACATCTTGAAATTTAGGCATTTTACAAAGATGAGGAGGCCTGGGTTTAGGTAGGTTAAGTGATTTGGTTTGCCCAAGGAAAGTGGTAAGTGGTGGAGCAGGCTTTAAAAGCAAAGCTGCCTGTGACCTTAAGTATTACATACTACTCACCAAATACACATTCCTCGCTAAGAAACCTGTATTTTACTCCACTAGAATGGAAACTTTGCCATACCACAGATATTTTAATCTGTTCAGAGATTATGCAAAATGAATACATTTATGAGCACTAAAATAATCTTATGTAGCTGAGTAAGCTCCAAATAGAGTATATTCTCAATTTGGAGGAACCAAGATAATAAAATAATGCTCTAAAACAGCAGTGAAAAGCAATACAAAATGGTGGCTATATGCAGAAATAGTCTATTCTAAGAAGGTCCATAAATGTTTACTGATGAGCACCACATTTCTCTATTCTCCATCATGACATCATGATATATTTGAGAAGACAACACCGGAAATACTAAGGTAAAGAAACCATAACCATCTCATCTGCATTATATCTTTTTTTATTTTTTTGAGATGGAGTCTCGCTCTGTCACCCAGACTGGTGACAATCTTATAGAGATTGGCTTGCACAAATCAATTTTTATTTATTTATTTGTTTATTTTTGAGATGGAGTCTCACTCTGTTGCCTAGGCTGAAGCACAGTGGCAGGATCTCGGTTCACTGCAACCTCCGCCTCCCAGGTTCAAGTGATTCTCCTGCCTCAGCCTCCCAAGGAGCTGGGATTACAGGTATGTGCCACCACACCCAGCTAATTTTTGTATTTTTAGTAGAGACAGGGGTTCACCATGTTGGCCAGGCTGGTCTTGAACTCCTGACTGCAAATGATCCCCCCGCCTCAGCCTCCCAAAGTGCTGGGTTTACAGGCGTGAGCCACCGTGCCTGGCCTTACAATTATAATTTTAAAACCTCAGCCAATAAAATAATCCAACTCCCATGCTTTGATTCTTTAGTTAAAATCCTTCTAACAGTAAGTTTTCAAGCTTTCCCATAAGGTGAGAGCATGTACTGACTGTTGCTTATCATTATTTTGGTCTCTTTGGCTGTATAATGTGGTAAATTAATGAATTAATAGATTACTCCTTTGGTTACCAATGTCCATAGATTTATATGCCTTGGTCAGTAGGCACAAAATCCCTAGAGGTAGATAAATTCTGGCTATCCTGTTAAAATTCAATTTCTGTGATTGCAAAGCTAGGAACCAAATCTTATACAATGTTCAGTCTACCAAATGCTGCCCAAATTTTAGGCCAAACTCTTTATTCAATATTTGTTTAGTTACACCACCTCTACATTTTTGAAAATGTGTATAAAAAATAAAAACTGGCCGGGTGCGGTGGCTCACACTTGTAATCCCAGCACTTTGGGAGGCCGAGGTGGGCAGATAATGAGGTCAGGAGTTCAAGACCAGCCTGGCCAACACAGTGAAACCCTGTCTCTACTAAAAATACAAAAATTAGCTGGGCGTGACGGTGGGCACCTGTAATCCCAGCTACTCAGGAGGCTGAGGCAGGAGAATCGCTTGAACCCGGGAGGCGGAGGTTGCAGTGAGCCGAGATTGTGCCACTGTACTCCAGCCTGGGTGACAGAGCTAGACTCCGTCTCTAAATAAATAAATAAAAAATAAAAAATAAGTAACATATAAATACACTTCTCTTGTAAAAAATATTTTTAAAAACATTACATGGTTATAAGGACCAATTCTAGTACATTCTGGCAGCCACAGTTACCATTTACAGATATTTTTGAATTTATTCATATATATGTTTATACCACCAGAAAACATATAATATTGCTGTTTTAACATAAATGGTATCATATTAATGGTATTTTCCTGGTTGTCTTCCTTTTTAGCAACTAAAAATAATGTTGCAGTGAACATCCTTGCACATATCTCCCTGTACCCATGTGAAAGTGATTCTCTAGAAATGGGATTGTTAGGTCATGGGATAGAAATATTTTTTAATTAAAATGGATATAGTGCCCAGGCACGGTGGCTCACGCCTGTAATCCCAGCACTTTGGAAAGCCGAGGCAGGTGGATCACTTGAGGTCAGGAGCTCGAGACCAGCTTGGCCAACATGGTAAAACCCCATCTCTACTAAAAATACAAAAATTAGCTGGGTGTGGTGGTGGGTGCCTGTAATCCCAGTTACTCAGGAGGCTGAGGCACAAGAATTACTTGAACCTGGGAGGCGGAGGTTGCAGTGAGCTGAGATTGCACCACTGCATTTCAGCCTGGGTGACACAGTGAGACTCTGTCTTTAAAAAAAAAAAAATGGATATAGCCAAATTGTCTTCCAAAGTGGCTGTGCCAAAATATACTTCTACTTAACAATGCAGTAATGTATCCATTTCCCTACATCCTTGCCAAAAGTTGATGTGATGGGTGAAGACTGTACTTTATCATTATCATACTATTAATTTGTGTTTCCCTGTTTACTAATAAAACATCTTTAAAACAAATTAGTTATCTGAAAACATCTTTGTTTTTTTTTCTTGAGAAGGAGTCTCACTCTGTTGTCCAGGCTGGAGTGCGTTGGCGCAATCTTGGCCCACACAATCTCCGCTTCCTGGGTTCAAGCGATCCTCCTGTCTTACCCTCTCAAGTAGCTGGGATAACAGGGATGCGCCATGACATCCAGCTACTTTGTTTTTGTATTTTCAGTAGAGACAAGGTTTCGCCATGTTGGCCAAGGTGGTCTCGAACTCATGACCTCAAGTGATCCGCCTGCCTCAGCCTCCCAAAGTGCTGGCATTACAGGCGTGAGTCACCATGCCCGGCCTGAAAACATCTTGTAGCCCAACGATACAATCAACAGAGTAGAAAGAAAACCTGTGAAATGGGAGGAATTATCTGTAAATCATTTATCTAATAAGGAGTTAATATTCAGAATAGTCTGGGCATGGTGGCTTATGCCTGTAATCCCAGCACTTTGGGAGGCCAAGACAGGTGTATCACTTGAGGCCAGGAGTTTGAGACCACTCTGGCCAACATGGCGAAACCCTGTCTCTACTAAAAATACAAAAATTAGCCAGGTGTGGTGGCGCATGCCTATAATCCCAGCTATTTGGGTGGCTGAGACACGAGAATTGCTTGAACCTGGGAGGCAGAGGTTGCAGTGATCCAGGACTGCGCCACTGCGCTCCAGCCTGGGCGACAGAGTGAGACTCTGTCTCAAGAAACAAACAAACAAAAACAAAATAAAAACAACAACAAAAATTTGGAATATATAAAGACCTCCTACAACTCAACAACAACAAAAAACTTGATTTAAAAAATGGGCAACACAGGTGGGTGCAGTGGCTCATGCCTGTAATCCTAGCACGTTGGGAGGCCAAGGCAGGTGGATCACCTGAGGTCGGGAGTCCGCAACCAGCCTGACCAACATGGAGAAACCCCGCCCCTACTAAAAATATGAAAAAAATTAGCTGGGCCTGGTGACGCATGCCTGTAATCCCAGCTACTCGGGAGGCTGAGGCAGGAGAATCGCTTGAACCCGGGAAACGGAGGTTGTGGTGAGCCGAGATCGTGCCATTGTACTCCAGTCTGGGCAACAAGAGTGAAACTCTATCTCAAAAAAAAAAAAGGCAACACACACACACAATGGGCAAAGAACTTGACATTTCTCCAAAGAAGATATACAAATGGCCAACAAAACACATGAAAAAATGTTCAATATTACTATCATTATGGAAATAAAAAACAAAACCACAATGAGATACCACCTCACACTCATAAAGATGGCTATTATCCAAAACAAACAAACAAACAAACAAAAAACCCCAGAAAACAAGAAGTGGTTGCGAGCATGTGGAGAAACTGGAAACCCTGTGCACCATTGGTGGGAAGTAAAATGGTGAATCTGCTATGGAAAACAGCATGGAGGTTCCCCCAAAAGATTAAAAATAGAATTACCATATGATCTAGCAATTCTACTTCTAAGTATATAACCAAAAGAACTGAAAGCAGGGTCTTGAAGAGATTATTTGAACACTCGTGTTCATAGCAGTATTATTCACAATAGCCAAAAGCTGGAAGCAACCTAAGTATCCACTGACAGATGTATGGGTAAACAAAATAAGGTGTATACATACAATGCAATATTATTCAGCTTTGAAAAGGAAGGAAGTTCTGACACATGCTATAACATGGATGAACATTGAGGACATGATGCTAAGTGAAATAAGCCAGTCACAAGAACACAAATACTATATAATTCCACTTATATTAGGTACCTAGAGTAGTCAAATTCATAGAGACAGAAAGTAGAATGGTGGTTGTCAGGAACTGGGGGAGTGGGGAACTGAAGTTGTTTAATGGCTATAAAGTTTCAGTTTTGGAAGATGAAAGAATTCTGGAGATTGGTTGTACAACAATGTGAATGTATCTAGCACTACTGACCTGTACATTTAAAAAATGGTAAACATAATAAATTTTATATTATATATATTTACAAAACAACCCCACCAAAACCCCTTGTAGACTCTGAAATTCCTTGGAGGTTAATGAACCAAAATAAGATACACTATTTTTTGGTAGGTATCAGTTTTCACATACGCTTAGCTTTTGCATACTGTGGCATATGACACTGTTACTTAGAGAAAGATTTGAATCTCTTCCACAGATGGACACACTACCATCCTTATACCTTTGGCTCTAAAATCTAGCTCTAAAATAGAGTAATGGAAATTAATATTAAAAACTATTCAAGGTACGAAAGTGTACGTAACAAAAACAAAAATAGACAAATGGGACTATATTAAGCTAAAAAGCTTCTGCAAAGCAAAGGAAACAACAAAGTGAAGAGACAATCTGTTGAATGGGAGAAAATATTTACAAACTATTCATTCAACAAGGAACTAATGTCCAGAATATACAAAAAATTCAAACAACTCTAAAAAGAAAATAAAACAAAAACAAAAACAAAAAAAATTCAAATCACTCAACAGTAAAAAAGCAAATAATCCCATTAAAAAGTGGACAAAGGACATGAATAGACATTTCTCAAAAGAAGACACACATGGCCAACAGGTGTATGAAAAAATACTCAACATCACTCATCATCAGGGAAACGCAAATCAAATCTACAGTGAGATATCATCTTCTCCCAGTTAGAATGGCCATTATTATTATTATTAGAAAAGCTCCTTTTCTGCTCATCTGTCTGTTGCCTCCTTGCAATACATTTTCCTACTTTCTCTAATAAATCTGCCTTTCTTTACCTTAAACGAACAAACAAACAAAAACAGATGCAAGGATATGGAGAAAAGGGAACTCACGGCCAGGCACGGTGGCTCATTCCTATAATCCCAACACTTTGGGAGGCCGAGGCGGGTGGATCACCTGAGGTCAGGAGTTCGAGATCAGCCTGGCCAACATGGTGAAACCCTGTCTCTACTAAAAATACAAAAATTAGCTGGGTGTGGTGATGTGCGCCTGTAATCCCAGCTGCTCAGGATACTGAGGCAGGAGAATCGCTTGAACCCAGGAAGCGGAGGTTGCAGTGAGCCGAAATCTGCACTCCAGCCTGGGCAACAGAGTGAGACTCCATCTCAAAAAAAAAGGGAACTCATACACTGTTGGTGGGAAATTAAATTAGTATAGCCACTATGAAAAACAGTATAAGGCCAGGTGTGGTGGCTCACGCCTGTAATCCCAGTACTTTGGGAGGCCGAGGTGGGCGGATCACGAGGTCAGGAGATCGAGACCATCATGGCTAACACGGTGAAGCCCCATCTCTACTAAAAAATACAACAAAAATTAGCCGGGCGTGGTGGTGTGCACCTGTAGTCCCAGCTACTCGGGAGGCTGAGGCAGGAGAATGGCGTGAACCCGGGAGGCGGAGCTTGTAGTGAGCCGAGATCACACCACTGCACTCCAGCACTCCAGAGGGAGACTCCGTCTCAAAAAAAAAAAAAAAGAAAAACAGTATAAAGATTTCCCAAGAAACTAAAAATAGAACTAGCATTTGATCCAGCAATGCCACTACTGGGTATGTATCCATAGGAAAGGAAATCAGTATATCAAAGGGATACCTGCACCCCCATGTTTACTGCAGCACAATAGCAAAGTTATGGAATCAACCTAAGCATCCATCAACAGACGAACAGATCAAGAAAATGTGGTATTAGGCCAGGCGCAGTGGCTTGCGCCTGTAATCCTACCACTTTGGGAGGCTGCGGCAGGTGGATCAGTTGAGCTCAGGAGTTGGAGGGAGACCAGCCTGGCCAACATGGTGAAACCCCATCTCTACTAAAAATACAAAAAAATTAGCCAGGCGTGGTGGCGCACACCTGTAATCCCAGCTACTCGAGACGCTGAGGCAGGAGAATGGCTTGAACCTGGGAGGTTGCAGTAAGCCAAGATTGTGCCACTGCACTCTAGCCTGGGCGACAGAGAAAGACTCCATCTCAAAGAAAAAAAAAATGTGGTGTGTATACACAATGGAATACTACTCCACCATAAAAAAGAATGAAATCATGTTACTTGCAGCAATATGGATGGAACTGGAAGTTATTATGTGAAATAAGCCAGGCACAGAAAGACAAATATGGCATGTTCTCATATGTGGGAGCTAAAAAAATTGAACTCAGGGAGGTACAGAGTAGAATGGCAGATACCAGAGGCTGGGAAGAGTGTATGTGTGTGTGTTGTGGTGGGCGGGGTGGGGGGGAGGGGTGCGGGAGCGGGCAATGAAGAGAGGTCAGTTAATGGGTACACTCATACAGTTAGAAGGAGTAAGATCTAATGTTCCATAGCAGAGTAGCGTGACTATAATTAACAAAAATGTATTACATATTTCAAAACAGCTAGAAGAGAGGACTTGAAATGTTCCCAACATATAGAAATGATAAATACTCAAGGTGATGGATACTCCAACTATCCTGACTTGATCATTCTATGAATCTAACAAAATATCACATGTACCCCATAAATATGTACAAATATTATGTTATCAGTAAAAAAACTAAGGTAGAAAAAAATGGGTTTTCTATTTTTACAAATCACTAACAGAAGTTATGTGTTACCTTGTTAAAATAAATGGAATTAAAAATTGTAATTTCCAAAAATAACTGCAGCCTAAATAGTAGAGAATTAAAAAGCAATTTTTTTTTTTGAGACAAAGTCTAGCTCTGTCACCCAGGCTGGAGTGCAGCGGCTCACTACAACCTCCTGGCTCACTACAACCTCCACCTCCTGGGTTCAAGCGATTCTCCTGTCTCAGCCTCCCAAGTAGCTGGGATTACAGGTGCCCGACACCACACCTGGCTAATTTTTGTATTTTTAGTAGAGATGGGATTTCACCATGTTGGCCAGGCTGGTGTCGAACTCCTGACCTGAAGTGATCCCCACGCCTTGGCCTCCCAAAGTGCTGGGATTACAGGTGTGAGCCACCATGCCTGGCCTCAATTTCTTAAACTCCAGAAATTGTTTCCTTTAGTCTAATAAATCCTAAATGCACTAACCTTTTAGGTTACAACATTTTTATAAATGCACTGATTTTGATTTGTGGAGATGGCTAAGTGAGACTGGAATATGAATAGCACAATGAATGATATACTGTAAAATGGAAACATTAAGCCATTTTTTTCAACATTTACCGAATACCCGTTATGTGCTTAGCACTGATAGCTACAGGATATGGCTCTGCCATTAACTAAGTAGTAACTATATTCTTTTATTTATTTATTTATTTATTTTTGAGATGGAGTCTCGCTCTGTCGCCCAGGCTGGAGTGCAGTGGCGCGATCTCAGATCACTACAAGCTCCGCCTCCCGGGTTCAAGCCATTCTCCTGCCTCAGCCTCCCGAGTAGCTGGGACTACAGGCGCACACCACCATGCCCGTCTAATTTTTGTTGTTTTTTTTTTGTAGAGACAGGGTTTCACCGTGTTAGCCAGGATGGTCTCGATATCCTGACCTCGTGATCTGCCTGCCTCGGCCTCCCAAAGTGCTGGGATTACAGGCGTGAGCCAACCGCACCTGGCTGTAACTATATTCTAAGGGAGACTGTCAAACAACTACAGAGCTAACTCTACTGTAAGACAAAATGTGGATAAATGTATAACAGAAATTTAAGGCAAGTGATATAACAATACAAGAAAAGGAGTGACTCACTTTTTATCTGGAAAAGTTGAGAAAGCTTACAGGGAGTATCTGAAACAAGGCTTAAAATGTAAGCAGAATTTTGAGAGTGGAGAGAAAGCAGACAGGGAAGAAAATTGTTGTAACCCAACAATCAACAGTGCTGACATACGAGAGTGCATCAGGCCAGGCGTGGTGTCTCACGCCTGTAATCCCAGCACTTTGGGAGGCCAAGGCGGGCAGATCACCCGAGGTCAGGGGTTTGAGACCAGCCTGGCCAACATGGCGAAACCCCTGTCTCTACTAAAAATTAAAAAAAATTAGCCAGGTGTGGTGGCGCGTGCCTGTAATCCCAGATACTCTGGAGGCTGAGGCACGAGAATCGCTTGAGCAGAGGTTGGCAGTGAGCCGAGATCACGCCACCGCACTCCAGCCTGGGTGACAGCAAGACTCCACCTCAATTAAAAAAAAAAAAAGAGTGCATCAAAGAATATGATTATGGGAAAGGTGTGACTGGAGTAAAGAGCACATGAAATTAGGACTAAGGAATTCTGGCTTCAGTCTATACACTACTCCTTTCAAAAGTGTGTTCTATGGAATCTAGCCAAATGCTCCATTAAGTGGTCCAATAATATGAGAAATTCTGTGTATTAGAGCCCCCATTGGAAAGTATAACACATATCAGCATCAGCATGTTAACATCTCTGATCTCTCAAAAGCTGTGTTGGGAGACAATTCTTCATGAGTTTCTCATGTTTCTGCACATCTTGTGGACAAGGGCCCTAACTGCCTTTGTTCTGGACAATCTTCTCAAGGATATTTGTATATCTTTGGAAGATAGTTGAAATGGCCTTCGCAAAATTATGACTGAGACAGTGAAAGAGATCTAACTTAACTGACTCCGACTTGGTTCTAACCTCCAAGCTGTCCTTGTTCATTCCTGGCCATAGGCTGAACTAACTTTAGGAGAAACTTAGTTTATAGTTTAAACAAAGACTGTAACAGCCCTTTCCCAAAGCAGACCTCCTTCTTGCCTGAGAACTAGATTGCCTTTGTAGGACTAATATTAGCCACAAGATGAAAAATTATGGTTTAGGAGTCATGTAGCTAGAGGCTACAAGATTCTGACCCTCCCTAAACTGCTCCTAATATCATCGCTTGAGATATTTTGCAGACTCTGCACTTGATGGATCAGCTGACACCACCCAGATCAATAAACTGGCTCATCTGATCTTGTGGCCCCCTCCCAGGAACTGACTCAGCACATGAAGACACCTTTAACTCCCTATGATTTAATCTCTGAGCAATCAGCACTCCTGGCTCACTGGCTTCCCCCCACCCACGAAGCTATCCTTAAAAACTCTGCACCCCGAATGCTCGGGGAGACTGACTTGAGTAATAATAAAACTCCAGTCTCCCACAAAGCTGGCTGTGCATGAAATACTTTCTCTATTGCAATTCCTCTGTCTTGATGAATTGGATCTGTTTAGGCAGCAGCAAAGTGAACCCCTTGGGCGGTTACACAGTCTCCCTCCACAGCAAAGGGGAGGCACACTTACTATCCATTACAGAAAATGTGGGTTCCCAGAGCTTGGTGTTCCTCTCCCATAATGCAGCCCATTGGCCCTCTTTGTTATTGTTGTTTTCTTAAGAGTTGGGGTCTGGCTCTGCTGCTCAGGCTAGAGTGCAGAGGCACGATCACAGCTCACTGCAGCCTCAAACTGATCTCAAGCAATCCTCCTGATCCAGCCTTCCGAGTAGCTGACCACTGGCCCTCTTTGGATTGCCCTATGGGAAATGGGGTTTGGGGAACCTATGACATTTTGGCTACTTGTTGTGAGTAGTAAAGTCCTTTAACTTGAGCCAGGCATGGTGGCACAAGCCTGTAATCCCAGCTACTCAGAAGGTTAAGGTGCAAGGATTACTTGAGCCCAGGAGTTCAAGACTAGCCAGGGCAACATAGCAAGACCCAATCTCAAAAACAAACAGCAAAAAGTCCTTTGCTGGACTCTGACTCAGGAGTGTCATATTTTCTGCCAGCATCCATGAAACTGTGGCAGGTTAACTTGTTAGCTTGCAAGTAGGGTAAGAACTTAGATCCTTCCCAGCTTTTGAACCCTGAAGTAAAAAGAAAACTTAATTTTGTTTAAACCAGGGTTTCCCAAGTTTATTTTTTTCCAAGAATACTTATTAATACCATGTAGAAAAAACTCTGGGAAATGTTATAGCAGGCAATATGGACAGAGCGCTAAATGGAAGGTAAGTGGACCAGTTAAAAGGTTACTGCATTAGCTTGAATGAGAGATGAATGTGAGCCTTGGAATGTAAAGGGGGTATGGCTATGACACACGTTGTACAAGAAGATGAAGATGACAAAGAAGTGTCATTAATGATACAGAACATAAGATGAGGCTTGGGTGAAAGTGGAAGAGAAAACAGTTTAATTTGGGATATAATAAATTTTTAGATTGGGAAGTCATTCATATGAAGATGTATAGCAAGGCATTATATCCAGCTTTTTCCTTTTATGTTTGATACAATTGAGTAAAATATGTTCAAATATATGAATTAGACACATTTATAAACAAAGACAAAATTGAATCTATGTCCTTAAGTATTTATATGCAAGGGGAAAGAACTAGTAGAGATGCTGAAGCTAAAAATGGACCAGGTGTGGTGGCTCACGCCTGTAATCCCAGCACTTTGGGAGGCTGAGGTGGGTGGATCATCTGAGGTCAGGAGTTTGAGACCAGCCTGGCCAATACGGTGAAACCCCATCTGTACTCAAAATACAAAAAGTAGCCAGGCGTGGTGGTGGGCACCTGTAATTCCAGCTATTCAGGAGGCTGAGGCAGAAGAATCACTTGAATCCAGGAGGCAGAGGTTGCAGTGAGCCGAGATCAAGCCACTGCACTCTAGTCTGGGCAACAGAGCGAGACTCCATCTCAAAAAACCTGAAACTAAAAAGAAAAATTAAAAAATTAACCAGGCGTGGTGGCAAGTGCCTGTAATCCCAGCTACTTGGGAGGCTGAGGCAGGAAAATTGCTTGAACCCAAAAGGCAGAGGCTGCCAGTGAGCCAAGATTGTGCCATTGCACTCCAGCCTGGGCAACAGAGCGGGACTCTTGTCTCAAAAACAAAAAATAGTTGTGAGAGGTCATGATTGACAGAGCAGGTGGGTATGTGATCCAGGGCCCAGGAAAAAGGTTCAGTTTCAAACAACAAAAGATCTACTTTTCTACTAAGACTAGAGGTAAGGGGACAAAAGAAATCAACTCAAGATGGACCAGAAACTTAAATCTAAGACCTGAAACCATAAAAATTCTAGAAGATAACATTGTAAAAACTCTTTTTTTGAGACTGAGTCTCACTCTATCACCCAGGCTGGCAATCTCGGCTCACTGGAACCTCCGCTTCCTGGGTTCAAGTGATTCTCATGCCTCAGCATCCCGAGTAGTTGGGATTACGGGCGCCCGCCACCACACCCGGATAATTTTTGTATTTTAGTAGAGATGGAGTTTCACCATGTTGGCCAGGCTGGTATTAAACTCTTGACCTCGAGTGATCTGACCACCTTGGCCTCCCAAAGTGCTGGGATTACAGGCATGATCCACCATGCCCAGCTGAAAAACTCTTCCAGACATTGGCTTAGGCAAAGAATTCATGGCTAAGACCCCAAAAGCAAATGCAACAAGAACAAAAATAAATAAATGGGACCTAATTTAACTAAAAAGCTTCTGCACAGCAAAAGGAATAATCTGCAGAGTAAACCAACAACCCACAGAGTGGGAGAAAATATTTGCAAACTGTGCATCTGACAAAGGACTAATATCCAGAATCTACAAAGTACTCAAACAAATCAGCAAGAGGAAAACAAACAATCCCATCAAAAAATGGGTAAAGGACAAGAATAGACATTTCTCAAAAGAAGATATACAAATGGCCAACATCACTAATTATCAGGGAAATCAAAACCACAATGAAATACTACTTTACACCCGCAAGAATGGTCATAATTAAAGCAAAAAAAAAAACACAAAAAACAAAACAAAAAAAAACAAAGATGTGGTGTGGATGTAGTGAAAAGGGAACACTTTTAACACTGCTGGTGGGAATGTAAACTAGTACAACCACTATGGAAAACAGTATGGAAATTCCTTAAAGAACTCAAAGTAGAACTACTATTTGACCCAGCAATCCCACTACTGGGTATCTACCCAAAGGAAAAGAAGTCATTATATGAAAAAGACACATACACATGCATATTTATAGCAGCACAATTCACAATTGCAAAGATATGGAACCAACCTAAGTGTCCATCAGCCAATGAGTGGATAAAGAAAATGTGGTACATATAAATCATGGAATACTACTCAGTCATAAGAAGGAATGAAATAATGTATTTTGCAGCAATTTGGATGGAGCGGGAGGTCATTATTCTAAGTGAAGTAACTTAGGAACGGAAAACCAAATATCGTTATGTTCTCACTTATGAGTAGGAGTTAAACTATGAGGATGCAAAGGCATAAGATTGATATAATGGACGTTGGGAACTTTGGGGGAAAAAGGGTCAGAGGGGGATGAAGGATTAAAGACTACGTATTTGGGTACAGTGTACGCTGCTCAGGGGATGGGTGTACCAAAATCCAGAAATCACCACTAAAGAACTTATCCATGTAACCAAAAACCACCTGTTGCCCCAAAACTATTGAAATAAAAATAAAAATTTTAAAAAAGAGGTAAGGGGATAAAGATATCTATAGTATAGATAGCTATACTAAAGACTTCAATATTACATAATGGTGGGACTCGTGCTGTGATTTAAAAAATTCCTTAATAAATTATATACTTAAAATGGTTAAAATGATAAAGTTTGTTTTATATATTTTACTACAATAAAAATGTATGTTATTTAAATACTACTCAATTTCCATATTCTAGTAGGTTAGCATTGATAACTACATTTTATGGTTAGCTCAAGTTTAACTTTTAGTTTGCTACTCTAGATCTTACATAAGAGCAATCCCATTTAATGTCTTATAGCCACTGAAAAAAATATATTCCACTTTCACTATATTTTACCTATTTTTATATAGCAGAATAAACCAAAGATCTTACCATCTGAAATACATCAGAGCCTTCATCAAAATCCACCATGGCAAAAAATATCCTGTTGGTGAATGCACTGGAGTATCGCCAGGAGTTTGCCAGGATCTGGAATTCTTCATCAGCTTGCCTGGATGCAATGAGATTCGTAAAGATAACATATAAAACAATTTTTGAAAGCAATCTCGTTTATCATCAGTAAAACAGGTCCAAGCAAGCAATAGCAGGTTTTCCAATGGGAGAAATAATAAAAAACACTGACAAGTAGGTCAGACTCTGCTGACAGGGTTAAGACAAATCTTGTTTTGGCATAAGAGAAGCCTTATCCCAAGTTAGGGATTTCATGAGAAGTAGTAATTACCTGACTCCGCTTCATACTTTGTGCCTGTTTCTTATCCCAAAACTCTTTCAACAATCATTGGAAATATATAGCTAATCGCCTCTACAATAACTTTCCATACCCTAAATTACTTCTAAGAGTTCAAAGACAAGACAGAAGTGTATTCCCTAAAGAAAGCAGAAATACAATATTAATTCATTTTTAAAAATCTAAAGTGCAAAAGCTACTTGGTAAATAACACAATCAGATAAATTATTAGGATGAAAGATAAGAAGAGTCTAGGAATTGAAATTAATTGAGGCCAGCTCATACCTGTAATCCCAGCACTTTGGGAGGCTGAGGTGGGTGGATCACCTGAGGTCAGGAGCTCAAGACAAGCCTGGCCAACATGGCAAAACCCTGTCTCTATTAAAAATACAAAAATTAGGCCAGGTGCAGTGGCTCATGCCTGTAATCCCAGCACGTTGGGAGGCTGAGGCAGGCGGATCACAAGGTCAGGAGTTCGAGACCAGCCTGGCCAATATGGTGAAACCCTATCTCTACCAAAAATACAAAAATTAACCGGGCATGGTGGCAGGCACCTGTAGTCTCAGCTACTCGGGAGGCTGAGGCAAGAGAATGGCTTGAATCCGGGAGGCGGAGATTGCAGTGAGCCGAGATCACACCACTGCACTCCAGCCTGGGCGACACAGCAAGACTCCATCTCAAAAAAAAATTATTGAAACCTCAAGTCATCTTTGAATTTTTCCATATCTCCCATATGCTTTCAGTTCTCATGATCTGTCAATTCTCATTTGCGATAAAAGTTTCACTCCATATCCTCCTATTTTTATTGCTATCATCTAAGGTCAGATTTTTGTTATCTAATAGTAGGATATTTAAAAATACTGACTCTGGTTTCTCCTCCTTCAATCCTTCTTTTTTTTTGAGACAGTCTCGCTCTGTGGCCCAGGCTGGAGTGCAGTGGCTCCATCTTGGCTCACTGCAACCTCTGCCTCCCAGTCTCAAGCAATTCTCCTGCCTCAGCCTCCTAAGTAGCTGGGATTACAGGTGCCCACCATCATGCCCAGCTAATTTTTGTATTTTTAGTAGAGACAGGGTTTCACCATGTTGGCCAGGCTGGTCTTGAAATCCTGTCCTCAGGTGATCCGCCTGCCTCAGCCTCCCAAAGTGCTGGGATTACAGGTGTGAGCCACCGTGCCCGGCCCTCCTCCAATCCTTACACTGCAATATACATCCATCTTCCTAAATTACTACTTTCCTGAAACACTTCTCAGAAATCACTGTTGCTTTCTTATTACCTTCAGAATACATTCTCTAATCTCTTTCACTAGTTATTGAAGGTTCTTTATCACATAGCTTCAAATAATACATCTAGTTTTTATCTAGTCTTACTACTAATCAATCTCAAACAGTAACCTTTAGTCCCAATATTTTATTTACTCCTATCCCTGTACCCTTGTGTACATCATGCTTCTAACCAGAATATCCTGCCTGTATCAACATCTTATCCATTTGTCTAGCCCTAGCACAAGTCTTATTTCCTCCATCAGGCCAATCCAAATCACTCCTATTAACCTTCTTTCCTGAAATTTTACAGTATTTATTATATGTACAGTTGATCTGGTACTTAATCACAAATTGCCTTATATTGCCATCTAAATTTTCATATGTGTAACTCATTTCCTTAACCAGATGATAAGGGTAGGTTATCTATTTTACAATTCTCATCCCAACAGCACCACAACTACAGTATAATTCATGTTGCTGTTGTTTAATTTTTATTTGTTGAATGAGTGTAGAAAAATTTGAGTTAATATTAAATTTGGTCTCATAGAAAATAAGATGCCAGTAAAAACTTAGGTTAGTAAGAATTCCATTAATTTGCATTTAATAGAGAATTATGAAGGAGTTTGTGTTTGTTCCCTGCTATTTTTGTATACTCTTGATTGCTACTGAGTGAACTGACGGAATTAGAAGTAATTCTAGATTTCAAGTTTATTCATAGTTATTACTTACGATTCCTTTTTCTTCTTTTATTTATTTTTAATTTATATTCAGCACATACTCCACAAAATAAGCACTATGGAACCAAATACCTTGACTATACCCTAGCTCCAGGGAGAAAATCGTTAAAGAAAAGTTATCAAGGCTTGGGGTGGCAGAACACACCATTCTGAAACAAGCTGTCTATTCCTTTGCATGGCTATCAGGCTGTCAGAATCTGGAGAACCTCCAAGTTTTTACTAAACTAATTCTTCATACAGTAGCTTTGTCATTTTATTTAAAGTTAATTACCAGATCAGATACACTGATCTAAAAATATAAATAAAAAGACACTAAAAAGCAAAAGCTATTTTATTTTTTAGTATCCACCATTTTGAATTGTTCATGGTGTTTTTATTTAACAGAATAGCAATCTTTGCTCCTAAGATCATTAAGAAACAATAAAATAAAATCAAGAAACCATTGTTTGATGAAAACTTAAGCAAGATTAGTCTCCATCTCCAAGGTTTACAATCACTATAAAACAACTGGGAAATTAGAAACATCGCTAAATCATGGATCTTTGGGATTAAAAAAATAATAATTAATATACCCATCACCTTACCTATTTATTATTTTTTGGTGGTGAGAATATTTAAAATGTTTTTAGCAATTTCAAAATCTACAATACATTAACTATGGTCACCATGCTGTGCAATAGATCACCAGAACTTACCCCCCTCATCTAACTAAAACTTTGTACACTTTCACCACATCCTCTCCTAAGACTCTGAAAACCACCATTCTACTCTGCTTCTAGGAGTTCAACTTTTTTAGATTTCACATGAGATCCCATGCATCTTTTTTTTTTGTTTGTTTTTGAGACAGGGTCTTGGTCTGTTGCTCAGGCTGGAGTGCAGTGGGATGATTATAGCCTTCTGCAGTTTCGACCTCCCAGGATCAAGTGATCCTCCCACCTCAGCCTCTGGAGTAGCTGGGACTACAGGCACATCACCACACCCAGCTAATTTTGTTTATTTTTATAGATACAAAGTTTCACTATGTTGCCCAGGCTGGTCTCCAATGCCTGGGCCCAAGTGATCCTCCCATCTCAGCCTCCCAAAGTGCTGAGATCACAGACATGAGCTACCACACCCAGCTGCATCTTTTTTTTAAAAAAAAAAAAACATTACCAGCTGGGTGTGGTGGCTCACGCCTGTAATCCCAGCACTTTGGGAGGCTTAAGTGGGTTGATCACGATGTCAAAAGATCGAGTCCATCCTGGCCAACATGGTGAAACTCCGTCTCTACTAAAAATACAAAAATTAGCTGGGCGTGGTGGTGTGCACTTGTAGTATCAGCTACTCGGGAGGCTGAGGCAGAAGAATCACTTGAACCCAGGAGGTGGAGGCTGCAGTGAGTCAAGATCACGCCACTGCACTCCAGCCTGGGTGACAGAGCGAGACTTTGTTTCAAAAAAAAAAAAAAAAGAAAATTACCAGTTTTCTTGAATTCCAAACTTGGATGAAGCCACCATTATTGCATTAGTAAACATCTTAAGCATTGGGTAGACCAGTTAAAATTGTGGAGCCTGTTTCTTCCAAAAATAGTAGGATATTTGCTTTACCTACCTTTTGGGATTTTGACAATACAAGAGTATGAAGCTGAAAGCACTTACAAATAATAAAAAAATACTACATCAATGCTACTGGCATACAGTTACATAAGTTGATACTGATTTTTTTTTTTTTTTGAGACAGTCTCGCTCTGTCGCCCAGGCTGGAGTGCAGTGGCGCAAGCTTGGCTCACTGCAACCTCTGCCTCCCGGGTTCAAATGATTATTCTGCCTCAGCCTCCCAAATATCTGGGACTGCAGGCATGCACCACAATGCCTAGCTAATTTTTGTATTTTTTTTTTTTTAGTAGAGATGGGGTTTCACCATGTTGGCTGGGCTGGTCTTGAACTCCTGACCTCAGATGATCCACCTGCCTCGACCTCCCAAAGTGCTGGGATTACAGGCATGAGCCCCCATGCCCCGCCAAGTTGATACTAATTTATAAGATGACTGTTTGATCTTTAAGTTACTTTTATGATGGCTACCACAATTATTTATCCATGCTTCCCCCACTGATACGGATAATCAAGAATTGACTATAAAAGAGCAGTAGTATTGCTACCATAGACATCCTGAGTAAGGTATACACATTATTTAAGTACCTACTGCACTAACTTGGCCCTTCTGGGATTGAGAAATGGTTAACGTTATATGAGTTATTTAATTTTAAAGCGTAGTTGGAGTTCATACTTGCAAACGACACACTGTCTATGCAGTTGGAGAGCAGTGAACATGACGATAACGGAGTAATTTCTCGGTGGGGCTTTCACAAGGCGACGGAACTTGTCTCCATTCATTCTTATTACAGGTCTTTTGTTAGTCCATTCCATCAGCTGACTAACCTTTTCAGATAACACCATCTAAAAAAGACAAAGTGAGCATGCTATTAATATACTCAACTTGGCATTTAAAGTTCTTTTAATGAGGCAGCTTACTTAAAACCAATACTAACAAGCAGAGGTATACAGAAAATGTGAGACCTAAAGCCAAAATTTGGTAGTTGGGCTGGATGATAATTATTCTTAAAATACATTATTTCATAATATTTTGTCAGACATTACACTTTTGATGTAATTAATTATGAATGAATGAATGAATGAATAAACGAATGAATGACACTGTCTCGCTCTGTCATCCAGACTGCAGTGCAGTGGCACAATGAGGGCTCACTGTAGCCTTGACCTCCTGGCCTCAAGGGATCCTCCCACCTCAGCCTCCCAAGTGCTTGGAATACACACGTGTTCCACCATGCTCAGCTGATTTTTGTATTTTTTGTAGAGATGGGGCTTCTCCATGTTGCCCAGGCAGGTCTTGAACTCCTGGGCTTAAGCAATCTGCCCGCCTCAGCTACCGACAGTGCTGGGATTACAGGCATGAGCCACCACACCTGGCCTTTATATATATATATATATATATATATATATATATTTTTTTTTTTTTTTTTTTTTTGTAGAGACGGGGGTTTTACTATGTTGCCCAGGCTAGTCTTGAACTCCTGGGCTCACATGATCCTCCCAACTCAGCCTCCCAAGTGTTGGCATTACAGTCATGAGCCATTGCACCCAGACAGAATTATTTATTATTTACTAATAAGATAAAAATAACAAAACCTTTCATTTGCCAAAAATTCCAAAGAATGTTGAGTTAAACCAATGGCCAGTTTTATATACAATTTTACTTCTCTCAAAAAACATACAGTGAAAATCTTGAAAATAAAGAGTAAAGTGGGAGGAATCACTCTATTCAATTTTAAGGTTTACTATGTAGCCACAATAATTAAGACAGTGTGGTACAGATGAAGGGATAGTATCACAGAACAACAGAACAAAAAAACAACCCAGAAGTAGACCCATACAAGTGTAGTCAAATGATTTTGCACAAAGGTGCAAAAACAACTCAGTGGAGGAAGAATAGCCTTTTCAACAAATGGTGCAGAAGCAATTGGTCATCCATAGCCAAAAATATGAACTTCACACCTTATATAAAAACTAACTCAGCCGGGCATGGTGACTCACGCCTGTAATCCCAGCACTTTGGAGGCTGAGGCGGGTGGATAACCTGAGGTTGGGAGTTCGAAACCAGCCTAACCAAGATGGAGAAACCCCGTCTGTACCAAAAATACAAAATTAGCCAGGGGTGGTGGCACATGCCTGTAATCCCAGCTACTTGGGAGACTGAGGCAGGAGAATCGCTTGAACCTGGGAGGCAGAAGTTGCAGTGAGCCGAGATCGTGCCATTGCACTCCAGCCTGGGCAACAGGAGTGGAACTCCATCTCAAAAAAAAAAAAAAAAAAAAAAAAGAAACTAATACAAAATAGATCATATACTTAACTGTAAAACTATAAAACTTTTATGAAAATAAATAGGAGAAAATATTCAGAAGCTAAGGGTAGGCAAAGGTTTCTTAGGCCTGACAACAAAAGCAGGATCCATAAAAAAAAAAAATTGATATACTGGACCTCATCAAAATTCAGCCGGATGTGGTGGCTCATGCCTCTACTCCCAGCACTTTGGGAGGCCAAGGTGGGCAGATCACTTGAGGCTAGGAGTTTGAGACCAGCCTGGCCAAAATGGCGAAACCCAGTCTCTACTAAAAATACAAAATTAGCTGAGTATGGTGGCACATGCCTAAAATCCCAGCTGCTCAGAAGGCTGAGGCATGAGAATTGCTTGAGACTGGGAGGCAGACATTGCAGTGAGCCAAGATCATACCACTGCACTCCAGCTTGGGTGACACAGCGAGACACTGTCTCAAAAAAAAAAATAAAATAAAATAAAAAATTTTACTCTCTGGGCCGGGTGCGGTGGCTCACACCTGTAATCCCAGCACTTTGGGAGGCCAAGGTGGGTGGATCACTTGAGGTAAGGAGTTCGAGAACAGCCTGGCCAACATGGTGAAACCCTGTCTCTAATAAAAATACAAAAATTAGCCAGGCATGGTGGTGGGTGCCTGTAATCCCAGCTACTCGGGAGGCTGAGGCAGGAGAATCGCTTGAACCTGGGAGGCGGAGGTTGCGGTGAGCCGAGATCACGCCACTGCGCTCCAACGTGGGCGACAGAGTGAGACTCTGTCTCAAAATAAAATAAAATAAAATAAAATAAAATAAAATAAAATAAAATAAAATAAAATAAAATATACTGACAATATCAAATGCTGGTGAGGATGTGGAGAAACTAGATCTCTCATACATCACTGGTGGGAATGTAGTATGGTGCAGCCACTTTGGAAAACAGTTTGGCAGTCTTAAAAGATCAAGCAACTGGGTGGGTGCAGTGGCTCACACCTGTAATCCCAGCAATTTGGGAGGCCGAGGCGGGTGGATCGCTTGAGGTCAGGAGTTCAAGACCAGCCTGGCTAGCATGTTGAAACCACATCTCTACTAAAAAAAAAAAATACAAAAATTAGCTGGGCATGGTGGCACATGCCTGTAATCCCAGGTACTCAGGAGGCTGAGGCATGACAATCGCTTGAACCCGGGAGACGGAGGTTGCAGTGAGCCAAGATCACATCATTGCACTCCAGTCTGGGCGACAAGAGCAAAACTCTGATGCAAAAAAAAAAAAAAAAAAAAAAAGAAAAAAAAATTTAGCCGGGCATGGTGGTGCACGCCTGTAATCCCAGGTACTTGGGAGGCTGAGGCAGGAGAAATACTTGAACTCAGGAGGTAGAGGTTGCAGTGAGCTGAGATCACGCCACTGCATTCCAGCCTGGGTGACAGAGTAAGACTCTGTCTCCAAAAAAAAAAAAGAAAAAAAGAAAAAAAAAAAAGCCAGGCGCAGTGGCTCATGCTGTAATCCCAGCACTTTAGGAGGCCGAGATGGGTAGATCACCTGAGGTCAGGAGTTTGAGATCAGCCTGGCCAACATGATAAAATCCCGTCTCTACTAAAAATACAAAAAAATTAGCTGGGTGTGTTGGCGGGTGCCTGTAATCCCAGCTACTCAGGAGGCTGAGGCAGGAGAATCTCTTGAATCTGGGAAGGCGGTGGCTGCAGTGAGCCGAGATCGTGCCACTGCACTCCAGCCTGGGCAACAAGAGTGAAACTCTATCTCAAAAAAAAAAAAAAGAAAAAAAAAAAGAAAAAAAAATCTGGCAACTAAAGATACATTTACCATACAACCCATCAACCACATTATTTGGCATTTGTCCTATAGAAATGAAAATTTATGTCTACACACAAAAAAGAGCTAGAGTTTGTTCCTTTTTGGCTAATCATCATGAGGCAGTGGAAGAGAAGCATGGTTAGTCGACAGGATTTAAGTTTGAAATTAAATGCCATCATATTTATCATTCCCCTCATCTTCACTCTCAATGTTTTCTTTTTCTTTTTTCTCTCGAGATGGAGTCTTGCTCTGTCACCCAGACTAGAGTGCAGTGGTGCGATCTCACCTCACTGCAACCTCCCCCTGCTGGGTTCATGCAATTCTCCTGCCTCAGCCTCCCAAGTAGCTGGGATTACAGGCACACGCCACCACGCCTGGCTAATTTTTGAATTCTTAGTAGAGACGGGGTTTCACCATGTTGGCCAGGCTGGTCTGGAACTCTTGACCTCATGATCTGCTCGCCTCGGCCTCCCAAAGTGCTGGGATTACAGGCGTGAATCACTGTGTCCAGCCCCACCCTCAATGTTTAATCCTTGCCATGAGTAGTAAGAAGGCAGGAAGGGATAACAAAGAAAACAAAAATCTCAATGTAGAGTTAATGCTAATTTATGATTTTGCTCATCTTTATAGAGATATGTATAGAAAAAGCTGGGAAATCATGCAGTGGTTCATCATTCAGAACCATTTGACCAGTTATATTTCCCGTTACCTATATTCTAGCACTTACCATTTTAAGACACTTTGACGTTTGATTCCTTTTCTAGACTATTAGCTACAAGAGAACAGAGACCCACAATTCTTTACCATACAGTAGGCACTCAGTAAATGTGTACTAAATTTATAATCAGTGAAATTTAACTGGGAATTGACTGACTTGCTTACATTAACATGTAAGAAAGAAATGATTAACTGCACACGTAAACACTTACATAGAAACAAAACTTTTTTTTTCACTTTAGAAAGTAACATGGATTCTAAAAATGCATGATTTGCCTTTTTTTTTTTTTTTTTTTTAGACAGAGTCTCACTCTGTCATGCCCAGGCTGAAGTGCGATGGCATGATCTGGGCTCACTGCAACCTCTGACTCCCAGGTTCAAGTGATTCTCGTGCCTCAGCCTCCAAAGTAGCTGGGATTACAGGAACGCACTACCACCCCCGGCTAATTTTTGTGTTTTTAGTAGGGACGGGGTTTGACCATGTTGGCCAGGCTGGTCTTGAACTCCTGGCCTCAAATGATCCACCCGCCTCAGCCTCCCAAAGTGCTGGGATTACAGGCATGAGCCACCATGCCCAGCCTGGTCTGCCTTTAAGCATACCTGAATTCATCTAATACTGACCACAATTTTATGTCACAAGTACATCTCTATGAATGATGGAAAAAAGCTGCATAAAAATTAGTTTTGTAGGCCAGGCGCGGTGGCTCACGCCTGTAATCTCAGCACTTTGGGAGGCCAAGGCGGGCAGATCACGAGGTCAGGAGTTCAAGACCAGCCTGGCCAACAGGGTGAAACCCCGTCTCTACTAAAAATACAAAAAATAAGCTGGGCGTGATGGCGGGTGCCTGTAATCCCAGCTACTCGGGAGGCTGAGGCAGGAGAATTGCTTGAACCCGGGAGGTGGAGTTGCAGTGAGCCGAGACCGCACCACTGCACTCCAGCCTGGGTGACAGAGCGACACTCAGTCTCAAAACAAAACAAAAAAAACATTAGTTTTGTAGCAAATACGAAAAAATTCTGGTAAGGGCCACAAAAAGAATATGCCACACACGAAAAACCGAACACACTCTAAACCCACAGAAAAAGATATACACTCTTGAAAGATTGGTTGTTAACAGGCCAGGTGCAGTGGCTCACGCCTGTAATCCCAACACTTTGGGAGGCTGAAGTGGGTGGATCACTTGAGGTCAGGACTTCGAGACCAGCCTGGCTAACATGGCAAAACCTCATCTCTACTAAAAATATAAAAGTTAGCTGGGCGTGGTGGCACATGTCTGTAGTCCCAGCTACCGGGGAGGCTGAGGCACTAGAATCGCTTGAACCCAGGAGGCCGAGGTTGCAGTGAGCCAAGATGGCACCACTGTACTCCAGCCTGGGCAACAAAGTGAGAATCTGTCTCAAAAAAAAAAAAAAAAAAAAAAAAGAAGGAAAGATTGGTTATAACAAATAATTAACAAGACTGCGGAACAATGAAACAAGTAGTTGGTAAAGGCTGTGGGAGAGAATGAACCAGGAGGAAGATAGAGAATATTTGATTTAAATTGAGACTGCACAGATCAAATTTATTGTTTTTCCAACAAAATGAATTGCTATTATTTGATACCGTTTTAATGATTCTCAGAGCACAGAAAATATGGGTTCACATTTTAAAATATGCAATCTATATTTTGAAGCAATCATTAATTTTTGCCATATTTTGTTTTTTTTATATATAGATATTTATTATACTTTAAGTTCTAGGGTACTTGTGCACAATGTGCAGGTTTGTTACATATGTATACATGTGCCATGTGGTGTGCTGCACCCATTAACTAGTCTTTTACATTAGGTATATCACCTAATGCTATCCCTCCCCCTCCCCCCACCCCACAACAGGCCCCGGTGTGTGATGTTCCCCTTCCTGGGTCCAGGTGTTCTCACTGTTCAATTCCCACCTATGAGTGAGAACATGCGGTGTTAGGTTTTTTGTCCTTGCGATAGTTTGCTGAGAATGATGGTTTCCAGCTTCATCCATGTCCCTACAAAGGACATGAACTCATCATTTTTTATGGCTGCATAGTATTCCATGGTGTATATGTGCCACATTTTCTTAATCCAGGCTATCATTGTTAGACATTTGGGTTGGTTCCAAGTCTTTGCTATTGTGAGTAGTGCCAAAATAAACATACGTGTGCATGTGTCTTTATAGCAGCATGATTTATATTCCTTTGGGTATATACCCAGTAATGGGATGGCTGGGTCAAATGGTATTTCTAGTTCTAGATCCCTGAGGAATTGCCACACTGTCTTCCACAATTTTAGACCAATATCTCTGATGAACATCAATGCAAAAATCCTCAATAAAATACTGGCAAACCAAATCCAGCAGCACATCAAAAAGCTTATCCACCATGATCAAGTGGGCTTCTTCCCTGGGATTCAAGGCTGCTTCAACATACGCAAATCAATAAATGTAATCCAGCATATAAACAGAACCAAAGACAAAAACCACATGATTATCTCAATAGATGCAGAAAAGGCCTTTGACAAAATTCAACAGCACTTCATGCTAAAAACTCTCAATAAATTAGGTATAGATGGGACGTATCTAAAAATAATAAGAGCTATTTATGACAAACCCACAGCCAATATCATATTGAATGTACAAAAACTGGAAGCATTCCCTTTGAAAACTGGCACAAGACAGGGATGCCCTCACTCACCACTCCTATTCAACATAGTGTTGGAAGTTCTGGCCAGGGCAATCAGGCAGGAGAAAGAAAGAAAGGGTATTCAATTAGGAAAAGAGGAAGTCAAATTGTCCCTGTTTGCAGATGACATGATTGTATATCTAATTTTGCCATATTTTCAAGTTAAATTTGACAGTTACCAGCAAATACAAATATGATTTGACTATTTTATTCAGGGTGACTACATATTCTGTATGGGGCTGAGAAAAACAAGTGTGAAGCAGTAACAGGTATTTACACAGTTTTACATCCTCCTATCTCTATTCAACCATATAGATATATAATCATGCCAACAAAAGAAATATAAGTGCTTTGAATTAGTTATCAATATGTGGAGTTTTCCTACACAAAAATTCTTGAATAAACGTTTTCAAGCAGGTCTACATAAAAAATTTATGGCCAGGCATGGTGGTTCAAGCCTGTAATCCCTGCACTTTGGGAGGCTGAGGAGTGAGGACTGCTTGAGCCCTGGAGTTCGAGACCAGCCTGGTCAACATAGTGGGACCCAGTTACTACAAAATATTATAAAATTGGTCGGATGTGGTGGCATGTGCCTGTAGTCCCAGATACTCAGGAGGCTGAGGCAGGAGGATCACTTGAGCCCAGGAGTTAGAGGCTGCAGTGAGCTACGATCACACATCACTGAACTCTAGCGGGGACAACAGAGCAATACCCTGTCTCTAATAAATATATATTTATATATATAATTTATATATATTTATATATATAAATTATATATTTGTTATTTATATATAATTTATATTATATTAATATAATAATATAATATAATTATAATATGTATTATATTAATATAATAACATAATTATATTATAATATATATTATTATTAATCCAGGCTATCATTGTTAGACATTTGGGTTGGTTCCAAGTCTTTGCTATTGTGAGTAGTGCCGCAGTAAACATACGTGTGCATGTGTCTTTATAGCAGCATGATTTATATTCCTTTGGGTGTATATCCAGTAATGGGATGGCTGGGTCATCCCATCTGCCGGCAGATCACGAGGTCAGGAGATCGAGACCATGTATAATAATTATTGTAATATATATTATAATATATGTTATTCCTCTTCCTGTTTATTAACAGACTAGAAAGACCAGACTTCTGGCTATTCTTTCTCGAAATAATTTATCAAGTAGAAGAAACTAGTTCAAAGGAATTATCTTTTTTCAGGCTCTTATAAAACAAAATCACTTCAAAAGGCTGCTTAATGCAGAGGCAATTAGATTACTTCCTGAATTCATTTTCTTTTTTTTTTTTTTTTTTTTTTGGTGACAGGGTCTCACTCTGTTGCCTAGGCTGGAGTGCAGTGGTGTGAACTTGGCTAACTGCAGCCTCAACCTCCCAGGCTCTAGTGATTCTCCCACCTCGGCTTCCTGAATAGCTGGGACTACAGATGTGCACCACCGTGCCCCACTAATTTTTGTAGAGACGGGGTTTTGCCATGTTGCCCAGGCTGGTCTCAAACTCCTGAGCTCAAATGATCCTTGCCCTCCCAAAGTGCTGGGATTACAGGCATGAACCACCTTGCCCCGACTGGGTTCATTTTCTTTAAAATGAATTGAAAACAGATCACAACAAATGAACTAGTTTTAAACTTTTACAGGCTGGGAGTGGTGGCTCATACCTGTCATCTCAGTGCTTTGGGAGGTCAAGTCGGATGGATCACTTGATGTCAGGAGTTTGAGAACAGCCTGGCCAACATCGTGAAACCCCGTCTCTACTAAAAATACAAAAATTAGTTGGGTGTGGTGGCACACGCCTGTAGTCCCAGCTACTCAGGAGGCTGAGGCACGAGAATCACTTGAACCTGGGAGGTGGAGGTTGCAGTGAGCTGAGACTGCACCACTGCACTCCAGCCTGGGTGACTGAGTGAGACTCTGTCTAAAAAACAAACAAACAAAAACTTTTACAATAAAATTACATGAACATAGCCTGGAACATTATAATTAGATGCTATAATCCTTATTCACAATGACGTAATATTTTAAGATATTCTAAAGCAAGCCTCTCTTGGATTTATGGAGAAAATAATAGCTACTATTTGGAATGTCTAGCGGGTGTCAGGCAGTTACTTCTTGCTTTATAGAATATATAATTAAGTTCAATCCTCAAAACGACACTATAAGGTAAGTACTCTTTTTACATTTGCTTATCTGTTGAGAAAACAGGATTGGAGAGGTTAAACAACTTGCCCAAAATGCCACAGTTAGTAAGATACTGAGGTAGAAACTCAAACAGGCCATGATCATTCTAAACCAGGGTTTCTCAAAAGCAACACTACCGACGTCTTAGGCCAGATCATTGTTGTGAGGAGTGATCCTGTCAGTGCACTGTAGGATGTTGAATAGCAACCCTGGCTTCTACTCACTACATGCCAGTAGCACCCTCCTCTCCCAGCTGCAACAACCAAAAATATCTCCACACACTGCCAAATATCTCCTGGGGAGCAAAATCACCCCCAATCCCACAATATTGTTCTTAAAAAAAAAAAAAAGGCCGGGCGCAGTGGCTCAGGCCTGTAATCCCAGCACTCTAGGAGGCCGAGGCGGGTGGATCACGAGGTGAGGAGATCGAGACCATGGTGAAACCCCGTCTCTACTAAAATTAGCCGGGCGCGGTGGCGGGTGCCTGTAGTCCCAGCTACTCGGGAGGCTGAGGCAGGAGAATGGCGTGAACCCGGGAGTCGGAGCTTGCAGAGAGCCGAGATCATGCCACTGCACTTCAGCCTGGGTGACACAGCGAGACTCCATCTCAAAAAAAAAAAAAAAAAGAGAGAGACAGGGTGTCACTTTGTCACCCAGACTGGAGTGCAGTGGTGTGATCATAGCTCACTGCAGCCTCAAAATCCTGGGCTTAAGTGATCCTCCCATCTCAGCCTCCCAAATAACTGGGACTACAAGTATGCGCCACCATGCCTAGCTAATTTTTAAAAGTTGTTGGGCACAGTGGCTCATGCCTGTAATCCCAGCACTTTGGGATGCCGAGGTGGGCGGATCATGAGGTCAGGAGTTCAAGACCAGCCTGACCAACATGGTGAAACCCTGTCTCTACTAACAACACAAAAATTAGCTAGGCGTGGTGGCGCGCGCCTGTAATCCCAGCTTCTTGGGAGGCTGAGGCAGGATAATGGCGTGAACCCGGGAGTCAGAGCTTGCAGTGAGCTGAGATCACGCCACTGCACTCCAGCCTGGGCGACAGAGCGAGACTCTGTCTCAAAAAAAAAAAAGAGAGACAGGGTGTCACTTTGTCACCCAGATTGGAGTGCAGTGACGTGATCATAGCTCACTGCAGCCTCAAAATCCTGGGCTTAAGTGATCCTCCCATCTCAGCCTCCCAAATAACTGGGACTACAAGTATGCGCCACCATGCCTAGCTAATTTTTAAAAACTCTTGTTGGGCGCAGTAGCTCATGCCTGTAATCCCAGCACTTTGGGATGCCGAGGTGGGCGGATCATGAGGTCAGGAGTTCAAGACCAGCCTGACCAACATGGTGAAACCCTGTCTCTACTAACATTACAAAAATTAGCTAGGTGTGGTAGCACGTGCCTGTAATCCCAGCTTCTTGGGAGGCTGAGGCAGGAGAATCGCTTGAACCCGGGAGGCAGAGGTTGCAGTGAGCCGAGATTGAGCCCCTGCACTGAAACTTGGGTGACAGAGCGAGACTCCGTCTCTAAAATAAAATAAAAAAATCTCTTTTAGAGATAGGGTTTTGCTATGTTGCTCAGGCTGGTCTCAAACTCCTGGCCCCAATAGACACTCCTCCCTCATCCTCCTGAGTGGCTGGGATTACAGGCTCAAACCACTATGCCTAGCTCAAGAACAACTGTTTTGAACTGAAAAGAATGTACAATTTTACAATCTTATTTTTATGTATTCAAAAATCTTTAAAAATCATTACTGATCAAAATACAACATAAAAGAAAGATTTAGTGATAAAGTAACCCAAAACTTCCTAGAGCAAGCCTTTATCATAATGGATAATAAACTTTTTAAACCTGTGTTTCTCAAAGTGTGGTTGGTATAAAGGAGCTTGTTAAAAATGCAGACTTTGGCCGGGCACAGTGGCTCATGCCTGTAACCCCAGCACTTTGGGAGGCCGCTTGAGCCCAGGAGTTCAAGACCGGCCTGGGCAACATAGTGAGACTCTGTCTGTATTTTATAAAATTAAAAAAAAAATGCAGACTTCTGGCCAGGCATAGTGGTATGGGCCTGTAGTTGCGGCTACTCAGGAGGCTGAGGTAGAAGGATCATTTGAGCCCAGAAATTTGAGGCTGTAGTGCACTATGATTGCACCTGGTGATAGCCACTACACTTCAGCCTGAGCAACATAGTTAGATTCCATCTCTAAAAAAAAAACAAAAATCAAAATCCATATTTCTAGATTTCATCCCCCAGTACATTTGATTCAGTAAGTCCAGGGCAGATTCCAAGAATATTGAATTTTAACATGTTACACATGTGATTCTTTATATACACTGAAGTTTGAGAATCACAGCTCTACATTCTGATTCTTATGGGTTAGGACTACATGTTATATAAATTTCTATGGACAGCAAAGGGAAATTAAATAAACATTAAGTGAACCAAATGATGAATAACAGGAAAAAGCATGCCATTTCTAATAATAAACCAACCCGTGATCCTCCTGGAACGGTTGAAGAATGTGATATTCTACTTAACTCAAATATAATGCCTTAATACTTCCTAGACACTTCCTTCACTGGTCCTCTTTTTTGTCTTCTTTAGTTAATAGATTTATAAGGGAATTTCTTGTTTTCTCTCTCTCTCTTTTGTTTCAATTTAGAGACAGGGTCTCATTCTGTTACCCAGGTTAGAGTTCAGTGGCATGATTGTTAGCTCACTGCAGCCTCGAACTCCTGGGCTCAAATGATCCTCCTGCCTCAGCCTCCTGAGTAGCTAGGACCACAGGTGCATGCTACCATGCTTGGTTATTTTCTTTTATTTGTTTGCAGAGATGGGGTCTTGCTATGTTGCGCAGGCTGGTCTTAAACTCCTAGGCTCAAGCAATCCTTCCACTTTGGCCTTCCCAAAGTGTTGGGATTACAAGTGGGAGCCACTATGTGTGGCCAGGAATTTCTTCAAATTTGAATTGAAAGCTTTCTTGATCAGGGTAAATCTCTATTCCTAAAGAAGCTTTTTCCTAAGGGTGCCTCTGGTTCTTTGTCAAGAGCCCATTATTTGGGTATGGAAAGGCATGGTTGAGAAATAAAAATTTTGTTCCTCTATTGCCACTACACTAAATCCCACTATTCATTTTCCAGATTCTTCTTTATCTTCCAAAGTCACAACCTTCAAATGGAAAAGTTAAAAATTTCACCTGTGCACTTCAGATCATTCTAATAATACTTGAAAATTATTAGGAAGAAACATATCTTCCAAAGACTATAACATGTAAAGATAAGAGGTTTATCAAGTGAACTGCTCAGCAACTCCAAAAAAGCAATTAATTCGCAAACAACTCCTAATGCAAATACTTTTCCCGCTAATAGTTTTTTTGAGACAGAGTCTTGCTCTGCCACCCAGGCTGGAGTGCAGTGGCACGATCTTGGCTCACTGCAACTTCTGCTTCCCGGGTTCAAGTGATTCTCGTGCCTCAGCCTCCTGGGTAGCTGGGACTACTACAGGCGTGCACCACCACGCCCAGCTAATTTTGTACTTTTAGTAGAGACAGGGTTTCACCATGTTGGCCAGGCTGGTCTCAAACTCTTGACCTCAGGTGATCCATCCAACTCGGCCTCCCAAAGTGCTGTGATTACAGGCATGATCGACTGTGCCCGGCCTCCACTAATAGTTGTTAAACATTCAAGAAAATATACTGATCTAAAGCTTTCAATTTGTATTGGATATATTTTTTATAAAACAAATTACAGGCTTACTATGAAAAAACACATTGAATTTACAAGATATTCACAATCAATTTATTTCCCTCCTTCTCCTTGGCGTACATTAGTCTATTTTCTACCATTCAAATAAAACAAAAATAGCAATAATACTCCCAATTGAAATACTTACCAACAAAGTAAAGTAAGTTTAAAGTCTTTCTCTTCTCTTGAAACATTTTAACTAGTATGTCCAAAAAAAATCACCTCACTACTAGAAGGCAATGTCTCTAATCCTATTTGTAATAATCAAGTGTTATAGAAATCTATAACTATAAGAGATTAAGAGGACCAAGAAAGGGCAGTGAGACATCAGTTTAATTTCATCTTACCTGCTTGCATAATATTTAACTTGATTAGCTCTACCAAAGTAGCTTAAGCTTTAATAACCAGAAATTGTCCTATTGTCACTATCACTCATCAAAAATGGAATATAGGATCTATTAATTACGATTTAAAGCTAAAATCTGATCCTGCCATTCAAATTTCTTTTGAATTTCAGAAGCAAGAAAGCTAAGTATTACCAGTCTGAATTCCTCTAAAATGCAACTTTCCCCAAAAGCATGTTTCTTAAAAAAAATTCTGTGGGTACACAGTAGGTATATATATTTATGGGGTACATGAGATACTTTGATATAGGCATGCATTGCATAATAATCACATCATGGTGAATGAGGTGTCCATGCCCTCAAGAATTTATCCTTTGTGTTACAAACCATCCAATTATACTTTTAATTATTTTAAAATACACAACTACATTATATTATTATTATTATTATTATTTTGGGACAGGGTCTGGCTCTGTCACCCAGGCTGGAGTGCAATGGTACATCTTGGCTCACTGCAGCCTGTACCTCCCAGGCTCAGGTGATCCTCCCATCTCAGCCTCCCTAGTAGCTGGGACTACAGGCACACACCACCATGCTCTGCTATTTTTTTTTTTTTTTTTTTTGCTAGGAACACGGTTTTGCCATGTTGCCCAGGCTGATCTCAAACTCCTAGGCTCAAGCAATCTGCCCACTTTGGCCTCCCAAAGTGCTGGGCTTACAGGTGTGAGCCACCACGCCTGGCCTCATTCTTTTTTAAATTTAAATTTAAATTTTTGTGGGTACATAGTAGGTGTGTGTGTATGTATGTGTACATATATATGTACATATATATATATATATTTTTTTTTTTGACATGGAATGACTCTGTCGCCCAGGCTGGCTGGAGTGCAGTGGGGCGATCTCGGCTCACTGCAAGCTCTGCCTCCCGGGTTCACGCCATTCTCCTGCCTTAGCCTCCTGAGTAGCTGGGACTACAGGCGCCCGCCACCACGCCCGGCTAATTTTTTGTATTTTTAGTAGAGACGGGGTTTCACCGTGTTAGCCAGGATGGTCTCGATCTCCTGAACTCGTGATCCGCCTGCCTCGGCCTCCCAAAGTGCCAGGATTATAGGTGTGAGCCACTGTGCCCGGCCTTAGGTGTATATATTTATGAAGTACATGAGATGTTTTGATACAGGCATGCAATGTGCACTCATCACATCATGTAAAACGAGATATCCATCTCCTCAAGCATTTATCCTTTGTGTTACAAACAATCCTATTATACTCTTAATTTTTTAAATCTACAATTAAATTATTATTGACTATAGTCACTCCGTTGTGCTATCAAACAGTAGGTCTTATTCATTATGTTTTTTGTTTTTTGTTTGTACTCATAAAGAATCCCCACCTCCCACCACCACCCCCAGCTTCTGGTAGCTATCATTCTACTATCTCCATGAGTTCAAGTGTTTTGATTTTTAGCTCCCACACGTAAGTGAGGATATGCAATGTTTGTCTTTCTGTGCTCGGCTTATTTCACTTAACATAACGACTTCCAGTTCCATCCATGTTGTTGCAAATGATAGGATCTCATTCTTTTTTATGGCTGAATAGTACTCCCAAAACTTATTCGTGTCTTTGTTCTAACCATCAGGGTTTATTCATAAAAATTCTTCATATTTTCACCTTTCCTAATCATCTACCAGTCTTCAGATGTTAGTATGAAGTAGAACAAAACAAATTCTTAGTTAAGGTATACATTTCCAACTCCCTCCTTAAATTAAGAGATCTGGAACAGATCTGGAAATATAACGGGCAGATAATTACTGAAGAAGACAGTGAACAGAGAAGTGAGCATTTTTAATCCTTAAATGCCATCTGCTCCATTATCAGTTCACGTACTTCCTGGATAGAGCTAAAATCTATCCTTGTCCCCTTTCCTTAGTTTTTAATTTTTTGGTGGTGTCTCCATTTAATTGTTCTGCAACTGCTACTAAGCCTGTTTCTCTAATCAGATATTTTCTAGAGAACTGCAGGGTTTTTTGCACATGTGATACTTTCATGAGTCATTTCTCAAAGCAAAGTTTTTCCAATGATAGCCTGCCTTGTTAAACATCCCAAAAAGATCAACTGCAAAACATTTACCACCCAGAGGAATATAATCTCACTTTATTTTCTAACATTTACTTAACATCTTCTATATGCCAGGTACTGCATTAGGTACTTCACATCCCTCATCTCATTTAATTTTCACAATAGCCAAAGAAATCAGCATTTTTTCCATTCTACTGATGAGGAAAATGAGACTCAGAGTAACTTGTTAAACATCATTGGGGGTGGATTAAAGCATATCCTCTTTAAAACTACAGACTTTTTTGGAAAACTGGGGAGGGAGATCTATCTGCCATCCTAGCATTATGATGACCATTTTTATTATGCTTCAGTATGCATTGCGTGTTCATCACTTTCCACATTTCATATTATTATTATTATTATAGATTCCCAGAAGTAAAGAAATATGAATAATTTTATCAAAGACCATGCTTCTTCATTTTTATCATGCTGCCTCTCTAAGATAACACCAGATGCGAGGATGAACAACTTCCCTTCCACAACAGGGGGAAAGGATTCACCATAAAATAAAACCAGTCGCTGCAAAAACAAGCCTTTGTTGCCTAGCACAAAACATAGGCTTTGGAACTAGACAGACCAGTGTGGGATCCCAGCTCAGTTTCTTAGAGCTGTGCTTCTATGAGCAAGCCCCCAACCACCCTCTTGCTTACTGTCAGTTCCCTCATCTATCTATCTATCTATCTATCTATCTATCTATCTATCTATCTGGGGTGGGTAGAGATGAGTCTGGCTATGTTGTTCAGGCTGGGCTCAAACTCTTGGCCTCAAGGGATCCTCCCATCACCTCAAGGGATCCTCCCACCTCAGCCTCCCAAAGTTCTGGGATTATAGGCATGAGCCACCATGCCTGGCCAGTCCCCTCATCTTTAAAGTCCCCTTATCTTTCGAAGGGGTTAATACTTACTCTGCAATGTTAATGTGTGTATTATAGATAATGAGTGTAAACTATAGTGCCTGGCATGTAGAATGCATTCGATAAATATCAGAGAATAAATGGCTGGGCTCAGTGGCTCACGCCTGTAATTCTGTCACTTTAGGAGGTCAAAGCAGGAGGATTGCTGGAGGCCAGGAGTTTGAAACCAGCCTGGTCAACATAGTGAGACCCGGTCTCCACAAAACATTTTTAAAAATTTAAAAAGAAAAATAAGTCCACGTTCCAATGAAAACATTGTTAAAGGTATAAATAATAAGCAGGGTAGCATTCCATTTAGCAATAGACAACTATGAGGAACTTGAGTGATTTTTAATCATATTTATTTAGGGGAGGTATCTTTTAAAAAGAATATACATATATGCACACTTTTTTTTTTTTTGAGACAGAGTCTCGCTCTCTTGTTCAAGCGATTCTCATGCCTCAGACTCCTGAGTAGCTGGGACTACAGGCATGTGCCACCCTGGCTGGCTAATTTTTTTTGTATTTTTAGTAGAGACGGGGTTTCCCCAAGTTGGCCAGCCTGGTCTTGAACTCCTGACCTCAAGTGATCCACCCGCCTCGGCCTCCCAAAGTGCTGGGATTACAGGCGTGAGCCACTGCACCCAGCAAAAAATAGATTTTAAGATCAGACATTACCCTATTATTTAAAGTCAAATTTATTATAGTAGATAGACCTGGAATTTTTTTAAATAATGTTTTCAAAAATTGACAAAAAAATGTTCTGCAACAGAACACCCATATTTTGAAACTGTGTCTAAGGAGTATCATAGTAGTCTTTTTAAAGACAGCCTAAACCATTCTCAGAGAGGGAAGGAGGAAAAACTAAATCATCTTTAGCAGCCTATATAAATTCCATGCTTACTGATGAGAAAATCCAATTTTATGTTGTGAAATCTAAGAAAACCTACAACTGAAAGAACAGATTCCCGGCTGAACACAGTGGCTCATGCCTGTAATCCCAGCACTTTGGGAGGCCAAGGTGGGTAGATCACTTGAGTCCAGGAGTTCAAGGCCAGCCTGGACAACACAGCAAAACCCCATTTCTACAAAAAATATAAAAATTAACTAGGCATGGTGGCACATGCCTGTAGTCCCAGCTGGGAAGTCTTAGGTGGGAGGATCACCTGAGCCCAGTGAGGTCATAAGGCTGTACTGAGCTATGATCATGCCACTACACTCCAGCCTTGGCAACAGAGTGAGACCCTGTCTGAAAAAAAATTTTTTTAAATATATATATACATTTATAAAAAGAAAGAACAGATTCCTGATTTTATATAAGTACACAGTTAATCTGATGTTTGTTGAGGACATTTTGACAGAAAATGCTGGATGTGAGGTAAAGAAAAATTAAGAAGTTTTTGCATTCAAGATGCTTACAGTGTTAGGGCAAAGACTGGCATATAAACAAGGACAATACAGGTCAGGCATGGAGGCTCGCTCCTGTAATCTCAGCACTTTGGGAGGCCAAGGTGGGAGGATCACTTGACCCCAGGAAGTAGAGGCTGCAGTGAGTCATGATAGTGCCATTGCACAGCATGCAGCCTGTGTAAGAGGCCCTGTCTCCAAATAAATACATACATACCTACAATGACTATATGCTGTGCTGAATTCATCTCAGTTCACCTGGAGGCACCAAGAAAACTTTAGCCGAGGAAGAAAGAAGATACTGTTTGAGCTAAGACTTGAAGAGTAGGAATCTTCAGGTGAATGAAAGGGTGGGGTAAGAGAAAAGGAAGATATTCTCGCATAAGTCTTGTACATGCATGAAAAGGGTGAATGTACTTCCAAGAGAGTACAGAAAGATCAAGGAAGGCATGTAATTTATTGCCTTAACATAAAATTCACCATATTGACCATTTTAAAGTATACAATTCAGTGCTGATTCCTTTAAAAAAAAAACAAAACCTATTTTCAGCTAGGCTGTTGTGCTTCCAGTTCAGTGAGAGAGTCAATGAATAAATATAATTTCACTGGTAGAAATGCTAAGTTTTAAAAAGCCTTCACTTTTTAATTAAAAAGAATAAGTGGACTAGGCACAGTGGCTCACACCTGTAATCCCAACACTTTGGGAGGCCAAGGCGGAAGCAACACTTGAGCCCAGGAGTTTGAGACTAGCCTGTCAACACAGAGAGACTCCGTTTCTACAAAAAGATAAAAAAGTAGCCAGGGATATTGTGGCACATGCCGGTAGTCCTAGATATTCGGGAGGTGGAGGTGGAGGTGAGAGGATCACTAGAGCCCAGGAAGTCGAGGCTGCAGTGAGCCATGATCCCACCACTGAACTCCAGCCTGGGCAACAGAGCGAGACCCGGTCTCAAAAAAAAAAAAAAGTGGTCATCGTGGAAATTCAGGTAATACCAGCAATACCAGCATGTAAAGTAAAACGTGAAAACGTTCCCCTCATCGATAATCCCAACTGCCTAGAGATAGCCACTGTTAAGGTATTGTCATGTATCCTTACAGAGATTTCTCTATACATACACATATACTTATATATAGGGGATGCTGTTGTTTTTAACATAAAAAATTTCTAAGACATAAAATTATGCATTGCTCTGCATCTTCTTTTCCACATAACCATAGCTTAGGATCCTCCCAAAGAAGGACATCAATTTCTAGTTTCAGTGTCTGAGCCTGCTCACTTCACGATACTTTTGACAATTGTATATTTTTATTGTACTCTTTGCCAATCTAATAAGCAACTCATTAAGTTTAACTTCCTAGCTTAGTTTTTCTTCTTATGGAATAGTTCAAATACTTAGAAACATAGAGAAGATAGCTTTCTTTCTTAATTCAGCTCAAGTAGACAAGTATCTGAAGTGCTTAACTGGTATTTTTAGAGTATGTGCACAGTTTTTCTCTATTAGAGGAAGCACAGAATGTACAGGAAATAGAGTTAGAATGACTGACGTAGGGTTTGAGTCCTCGTTCATTTTCTAAATTTAAGACTCTTTTTCTCATCTATAAAATTAGAGGGTATAAGTAATTGCTAGTAGTCTTAAAGTCCTAAGAGTATAGGACTCCAAATCACAAACGTTTGAAAACGCATTGTTAAAATTCCTCTACCTGGATTGCTTAATGGTGAGAATACTGTATCTCCTCCACTTCCTAAAGCCTATGAGTTCCACAAGATCTTAGTTTTGTTCATTTATGTATATCAAGTGCCTAGAACATTGCCTAGCATGCTTACATTTGTGGAATGATTGAAAATGGTTAGGAGCTTTCAATCTGGTAAATTGCCTTGAAACAATTATTTGGACAAAGTAATAAATCTGGCATAATTTCACTCTTTGGTCTAACTCTCACACTCCTGAAATGAAAATGCTAGAAAATAGAGAACTCTTACACATCATTCAGGGAGTTACATCGGCCAGCAGTATAGAGTCTCAGATATCCTACTCCTGGGATCTAAAGTCGAACTCCCCACCCCCAACACCTGACGGGGCCCACACTCAAAAGTGTCAAAACTCATAGCTATGCACATTCACAAGACTGTAGAAGTCGGGCTGTCACCTACGCTACTCCACTCTCAGATTCTACATCCCCAGAAGACAAAGAGTTACAGTTCCTTCTCTCACGAATTCCACAACTCCGAAAACCGCGTAATTGAAGCCACCAAAGGCATAGAAGCGGCAGGGAAAGGGGGCTGGGAAGAGGCGAACAGACCCTCTTAAGCCCCAGTCATTGGGAAAAGCCCATGCTGCTGGAAACCGCGTTCTCACCTCCTTCTTTCTTTGGGCAGAGGCTGAGGGAACGTCGCAAACGATGAGCAGCGCCACCACCATGGTCACAGAGACACACCAAAACCGCCAACGCGCTGCCATGTTCGCTCCTCTCCCTTCTATAAGTGAAACTTTGCTCCGGCTAGGTCTGAGGGTGGGGCGTGAGAACAGGCAAATCGGCCCCTTGCCTTTCCTCATTGGTCCAGCTCAGCCCTGCCGGGAGACCCCTCACATTACGTCACAGCGCGCTGGCGCTACACGCCCGCTAAAAGAAGGTTGATTTCTAATTGGCCCCGGTCGGCCAATAGAAAAAAGATAATCTGGAGCGTTTTCATTGGTCCGCTAAAGATAATGACCCGCCCCTTTCTCGATACGTAAACATCTAGCGCGCTGACGCTTTCCAAGCACGCATGCGCAGTTGTGAAATATTGCGGAGTTTTCGGAGTCCAAAATGGCTTGAAGTTGCTAGAACAGAATCTTTCAAAGACTCATTTAGAAGTCCTTGAAATTCGCCGCCTTCATGTAATATTCTAGAAAAATGGGACCTAGCCGCGTGAGGGATAAGAGCTATTTAGTCCGTTATCCTGCCTCCAAAGTACTTCAAAGTGAAAAAATAAAAGTAGGAAAGCAAAAATATACCTAATACCACTGAGGGAAATTTTTAAAGGTAAATATGAACAAGAGCTTGTTGAATACCTATTGTGTCCTAGAAACTGCCAGGAGCGCTGAAAAAAGAGGACATCAAAGATTATTTTTTAAAGTTTTTGTTTATTTATGGCTTTTTTTGAGATGGAATTTCGCTCTTGTAGCCCAGGCTGGCGTGCAGTGGCGCCATCTCGGCTCACTGCAACCTACGCCTCCCGGGTTCAAGCGATTCTCCTGCCTCAGCCTCCCGAGTAGCTGGGATTACAGGCGCCCGCCATCACGCCTGGCTAATTTTTTGTATTTTAGTAGAGACGGGGTTTCGCCATGTTGGGCAGGCTGGTCTCGAACTCCTGACCTCAGGTGATCCGCCCGCCTCGGCCTCCCAAAGTTCTGGGATTACAGGCGTGAGCCACCAAGCCCGGCCGGCTTTTTTTGTTTGTTTTTTCAGTTAAACTCCTTGACTTAATATTTAAAGCACCAACAAGGACTTTAATTGCAGGTTATAGACAGCAAATTCCTTCTTTTTATTCATTATTTTGTTTGGGGGATGGGTACAAAAGTAAGGTTGTAAAGAAGGAAAACACCAACAAGATAAAATCAATCTGCCTACAATTTGGATTTATTTTGATGGTGTGGAAAATATTATATGACTATTATTTTAGGCGCTACTGGATAAAAAAACCAGGAAATTAATTTCAGTATGTTGGAGAGACAAGGAGATGGGATGGAAAGAAAAATAGCTGGTTCCGAAGTGAAGAGATGTGAAATACAGATGTGAAAAAAAGTTAAATCATTTATGGAAACTTATATTAAGAAAATGCAGGCCGGGTGCGATGGCTCATGCCTGTAATCTCAGCACTTTGGGAAGTCGAAGTGGGTGGATCACCTGAGGTCAGGAGTTCAAGACCAGCCTGACCAACATGGCAAAACCCCCGTCTCTACTAAAAATTTAAAAATTAGCCCGGTGTGGTGGCGCAGGCCTGTAATCCCAGCTACATGGGAGTCTGAGGCAGAAGAATCGCTTCAACCCTGGAGGCGGAGTTTGCAGTGAGCTGAAATCGTGTTATCACACTCCAGCCTGGGCAACAAGAGCGAAACTCAATCTCAAAAAAAAAAAAAAAGGAAAGAAAAAAGAAAAAATGCAAAATAAAAGTACACTGAGACATACTGTATGATTCAATCTATATATGACATTCTGGAAAAGGCAAACTCATTGGTACAGAGAACAGATTAGTGGCTGCCAGGGGCTAGGGGTAGGGAAAAGGGTTGATCACAAAGAGGTCAAACAAGGGTGTTTTTATGATGCTAGAGCTATTCTGTCCTTAATTGTGGTGGTGGTGACACAATTGTATGCATTTGTCAAAACGCATAGAACTGTACACCAAAAAGTGAATTTTACTATGTGTATGTTTTAAAAATAAAAATTTTAAAGTTTAAAAGGGATATCTTACCTATCATATTGGCAAAAATCCAAAAGCTTGACACTACATGCTATTAGCAAGGCTGTGGGGAGTCAGGCACCCTTTATATTAATACGTTGCTGGTGGGAAGGCAAAACGTTACAACATCTATAATTTGGCAATATCTAAAAAAACTACACATATATTTATCCTTTAATCCAGCAATCCCACTTCTAGTAACCTACCTTGGAGAGAGACATCCAGCAATATGAAAATATGTGTGCACAAAGTTATTCATTTCAGCATTATTGAAATTGAAATATTCTTGAAACTACCTAAATATTCCAACATAGGAGATTGACTGAATATACTATAGCACATATACACCACAGATTTTGCAGCTGTAAAAAAGGAATGAGGAAGACTTATGTAAAATGATAATGGATTTTTATGCTACATTTGTATAAAATAGAGAAATAAGAAAACATACAGGTATTTGCCTATTTTTGCAAAAGGAAACACACAAGATAAACCAGAAAGTAATGAAATCGGTTACCTATAGGAATTGGTGGAAATGGAATGCAACAGTTAGGGGAGGGAATGACACTTCTCTAAGTACACTAGTCTGTTTAGTTTTGACTTTTGGAATAATGTTAATATTTTCAATAGTCAAAATGTATAATCAAAGCATTTAGTTTTACACGATGAAAAAGTCTTAGAGATGAATAATGGTGATAGTTGCACAACAATGTGAATGCCATTAATGCCACTGAACTGTATGTATTTTATTTTTTTTGTTTTGGGACAGGTCTCAGGCTAGAGTGCAGTGGTGCGATCTTGGCTCACTGTAACCTCCGCCTCCCCGGTTCAAGCAAGTCTCATGCCTCAGCCTCCCGAGTAGCTGGGATTAGAAGCATGTGCCACCATGCCCAGCTAATTTTTTGTATATTAGTAGAGACGGGGTTTTGCCGTGTTGCCATTTCTTTTCTTTCTTTTTTTTCTTTTCTTTTCTTTTCTTTTTTTTTTTTGAGACGGAGTCTTGCTCTGTCACCAGGCTGGAGTGCAGTGGTGGTATCTTGGCTCACTGCAACCTCCGACTCCCTGGTTCAAGCGATTCTGCCGCCTCAGTCTACAGAGTAGCTGGGATTACAGGCACATGCCACCACGCCCAGCTAATTGTTGGTATTTTTAGTAGAGATGGGGTTTCACCATGTTGGCCAGGATGGTCTCGATCTCCTGACCTCGTGATCCGCCCACCTCGGCCTCCCAAAGTGCTGGGATTACAGGCGTGAGCCACCGCGCCAGGCCTAACAGCTTTCTTTTCTTTCTTTCTTTTTGAGACGTAGTCTCGCTCTGTCGCCCAGGCTGGAGTCCAGTGGCACGTTCTCGGCTCACTGCAACCTCCGCCTCCCGGGTTCAAGTGATTATTCTGCCTCAGCCTCCTGAGTAGCTGGGATGACAGGCGCGCGCCACCACGCCGGCTAATTTTTGTATTTTTAGTAGAGACGGGGTTTCACCATCTTGGCCAGGCTGGTCTCGAACTCCGACCTCGTGATCCGCCCACCTTGGCCTCTCAAAGTGCTGGGATTACAGGCGTGAGCCACCGCGCCCGGCCAATAGCTTTCCAAAGTTATTTTATCACGTATTTATCTACATATTACAGAAGTTTTTACTGTTCTTGCAACTTTTCTCTAAACTTGACGTTATTTGAAAACTAAAAGCTAAGCCAATTAGTATAGTAGTAATAGCAGACAAAAAAAATGAGAGAAGTAAAGGAAGTTTTGGGGGAACAGAAAGAAGAAAGAGCTAGTGTGGAGATACTAAACCGAAGCTTGTGGAACTTGAACGCCATTTTGAAGCTAGTTCCTTAGACGATTCGGTCGAAGATCTGTCTCTCGGCTGCCCTCTATAGAGCTCTAAACCTGGCTTCAAGGAGTTCTTTCATTCTTCATTAGATACCACCCACCATACGTCATTTTATAAAGCCGGAAACTACATTTCCCAAAAGGCCTTTATTTTTCCTCGCGGGAAAAGGGATTGCAATTACTATAGGTTTTACAGGTATCGCGAGATTTCGTCAAATCTCATTACGGATCCCGGCTGAAAGCCATTTTGTTTTTCAGCTCACTTCAAGGGTACCTGAAGCGAATTGGCACCAAAGCAGCAGCTGTATTGCCGCAGTTCTAGCTTCACCTTCACGATGTTTCCCTTGGTCAAAAGCGCACTAAATCGTCTCCAAGGTGAGCAAAAATTATGACAAATCATTTACAACAACCTTATATCAATGTGTCCTCGCGGCCTCTCGTGTGCTTTCCTTTTACGAACATCTCGGCCTTCTAATCTTGAATGCTGTCTGTCTCCCATCTCGTCCCAAGTCATTGGGATGATGTCCTTAGCATTGGCTTTATCACCCAGTATTTCTGTTTCGGTTTCCAGCTCTCTTTCTGTTATCGGAGTGATAGTCTAGCCCTGCTTTTTAATTCTTCAGTAACCTTTGATTTCAGGGAAGGACATTCTTGGTAGACACCTCGTTCCTTAAGTGATGTCCTACATTTTAGCTTTGGGGATATGTTTACTCCTAACCCTGTATAGAAAAATATCTTCTCCAATTCCTATTACTGTAATAGACGGAAACTGTAAATCTAGCTCTTCACCTGGTTTAATTGCAGGGAAACAACCCAAATGGTATCGATGCAGCTTTGAAGTTATTTGTGGATTAACAATGTTAGCTGGCCAGGCGCGGTGGCTCACACTTGTAATCCCAGCACTTTGGGAGGCCAAGGCGGGCGGATCCCCTGAGGTCAGGAGTTCGAGACCAGCCTGGCCAACATAGTGAAACGCCGTCCCTACTAAAAATACAAAAATTAGCCGGGCGTGGTGGTGGGCGCCTGTAATCCCAGCTACTTGGGAGGCTGAGGCAAGAGAATCGCTTGTACCCGGGAGGCGGAGGTTGCAGTGAGCCAAGACTGCTACTGCACTCCAGCCTGGGCAACAAGAGCGGGACTCCGTCTCGAAAACAAAAACAAAACAATGTTAGCTGTCCTGAAGGCAATCGTGGTCATTTTTTTCTTATCCAAAGGTTGGGCAGGTACAGGGAGTTTTGAGACCAGCATTATGTAGAGAAAATGCAATAGATTGAGGAGAACAAATTAATTTTCATACTTGATTTGCACCGAAGGTGACCTTGAGTAACGTGGGCAGTTGTTACACAATGAAGGTGACCCGTAATTACTATTTAGTTTGTTTAGCCATCTTTTGATTTTCACTTAATAGAATCATTGGAGGATATTATTAGATTGTGTCCTAAACTCTTAAGCAACTTTGAAAATAACCACAAAATATTAGCTGGACTATTTTCATATTCCCAAAGTAGCATTTATTATCTCTTTTACTTTGGGCATATGATTTAGCCTCTCTCAACCTCAGTTTCCTTCTTTGTAAAATAAGTAATTTGTAAATAATGCCTACTTCATGGGGTTGTTGAGGATTATATGAGATCACCAATGTGTGGTAATTAAACAGTTGTCACAGAGGAGAGGTCTGATGAAATCCACCAGAGTTACATGAGTGTGTTGAAGTTATGAGATGTTGCAGAATTTTTTGGTAGTCTTAATTTCTTTGCTCTTTGAGCAAATAGGGCCACCTTGTACCTCAGGAAAGGTTTTTTGTTTTTTTTTCAGCGTGGAATTCACATGCCCACTTTTTATCTTTTCTGGAGCAGAATATATTATGAAATATTTGTAAATTTGCCTATCCCGGTGTGACTAAAAGATGAAAAGGGAAAGCTATGTAAGACAGTTAGAAGATCTGATAATGGTCTAATAACTATCATGAAGTAACCCATTGTACCATGTAGAAATATTCATTGCTAGTGAATGGGCAACATTGCAGTTTCTTTTTTTTTTTTTTGAGACAAAGTTTCGCTCTTGTTGCCCAGGCTGGAGTGCAGTGGCTCAATCTTGGTTCACTGCAATCTCCGTCTCCTAGGTTCAAGTGATTCTCCTGCCTCAGGCTCCCTAGCTTTTCATTATATATGTAAGTACCTTTGGAGGCTCTTTAAAACGATAAGAACCTGCCCCTTAAATTGGACAGGAAGAAAAAAAAAAACAGCTAGAAACAAGCTTTTTCCAGTCTCGGCTGTTTCCCAAGCCCTCCTTTTTAGTTCTTCCAGGGGCCGTTTGAAAACTTTTGTTCTTCTCTTTCTACTGGTATAATACTAACAGCAAACTTTATCATTCTGCTCAAAAACTAAGTCCTTAGCTAATTCTGCTTCCTTGTACGATACTGATTTTTATCTACATGTGTAATCCTCTAGACTGGAAGTTACTTGAGGACAGGATCTCTGTCTTATACTTTTTTATATACCCCATTTCTCATTTTTTATTTTTAGGGACAGAGAATTGCTCTGTTACCCAGGCTGGAGTGTAGTGGTGTGATCATAGCTCACTGCATCCTCTAACTCCTGGACTCAAGTGATCGTCCGGCCACAGCCTCCTGAGTAGCTGGGACTACAGGTGTGCATGCACCACCATGCCCGGCTAATTTTTAATTTTCAATTTTTTTGTAGAGACAGGGTCTCACTATGTTTCACAGACTGGTCTGAAACTCCTGGCCTCAAGCGATCCTCCTACCTTGGCCTCCGAAAGTATTGGGATTACAGATGTGAGCCACTGTGCCTGGCCCATTAATTTTTTAAAAATCAAGATTACTCTAGTTGTGGCGAGTTTTTTTGTTACTGTAGTAATTTTACAGTCATAAGCATTTAGTGTGCTTTAATTTGAAGTTCATTTGAGTTCATTTGCCCTTGTATGTTGTAAGTTGTTGGGCTCTATTGAGTAAACTTTAATGAAAATTTAAGTCATAAGTATTCAAATTAATCAATGGGAGCCAAAATTTCAGGGGTTATGCAAATACCACTTTGTAGAGAATGTTACTGACATCATTCATTCTTTGCTTTTTTCCCCCAACACTATTATGAAAACTCTCAGACATACTGAAGAGTTGGAAGAATCGTATGAACACCCATATACCCACCACAAAGATTCTACAGTTAACATTTTGCTATTTGTTTTATCATGTATTTGTCCATCTGTCAATTCATCTTATTTTTGTTGCATTTCAAAGTACACTGCTTTAATAGCTACAATATGTTTTAACATTTTATTGAACTACATAATACTGTAAAATTAACTTCCTTGGCTTTCCTGATTGGCAGTATCAATCACATATGTTTTCTTTACCTGACAATTGATAATATGCTTCTGTATTCTTTTTTCGTTTTCCTGTAAGTTCGAAGCATTCAGCAAACAATGGCAAGGCAGAGCCACCAGAAACGTACACCTGATTTTCATGACAAATACGGTAATGCTGTATTAGCTAGTGGAGCCACTTTCTGTATTGTTACATGGACATATGTAAGTACTATTGATTAATAATTTCTGTTTCAGATGTTTTTCATTCTCAGTCTATGCATTCAAAGTGTCTTAACATAGTAGTGTACATATCTAGTTAGGAGGGACTTGAGAGATTGTGTAATCTAATTACCCACACAGTGCAGGGGATTTTTTCCCCCCAGCATTCATCCATCTTCTGTTCTTAACATTCCCAGTAATAAATTGCTTACTGGATCACAAGGCAGCCCTTTCCATCTTGTGTAGCTGTTTTTTTTGTTTTTGTTTTTTTTTTTTTTTAAGAAGAAGTCTTGCTGTGTCCCCCAGGCTGGAGTGCAGTGGTGCGATCTTGGCTCACTGCAACCTCTGCCTCCTGGGTTCAAGCACTTCTTCTGCCTCAGGCTCCCAAGTAGCTGGGACCACAGGTGTGTGCCACCAGGCCTGGCTATTTTTTTTTTTTTTTTTTTTTGAGACGGAGTCTTGCTCTGTTGCCCAGGCTGGAGTGCAGTGGCGCGATCTCGGCTCACTGCAACCTCTGCCTCCTGGGTTCAAGTGATTCTCCTGTCTCAGCCTCCCAGGTAGCGGGATTACAGGCGCCCTCCAGTACGCCTGGCAGATTTTTGTATTTTTAGTAGAGACGGGGTTTCACCATGTTAGTTAGGCTGGTCTTGAACTCCTGACCTCAGGTGATCCGCCCGCCTTGGTTTCCCAAAGTGCTAGGATTACAGGTGTGAGCCACTGTGCCCAGCCTTGTGTAGCTGTTAAAAGGATCATATGGTGAGTTAAAATCTGCCTTTTTCCTATGCTACCCATTGTTCATTGAAGCACAGAAATTCTGACCCACTTCCATATAACAGCCATCAGATAATAGAAAATTGCTATCATATCTCCTCAATTTTCTTTTTCAAATTAAACATCCTTAGTTCTATCAGTAATTTTTTTGTTCATGGTTTCCAGGATTTTTACTGTCTTGGATCGCCTTCCTGGACATAACTTCACTTAACAATTTTTCTTTTAAAATTTTACACTCAGAACTTAGCACAGTATTCGTGACAGATGAGATGTAATGTATCTTTTTATATTTTAGTTTCTTTACATCTTACATTTAACAATCTATCTTTCAGTCACTGTTACTTACTGGCTAAAAGTAGGAGTCCTGAAGTCTGTGTTTTTTTTTTTTGTTTTGTTTTTTGTTTTTTTTTTTTTTGAGATGGAATCTTGCTCTGTCGCCCAGGCTGGAGTGCAGTGGCGCGATCTCTGCTCACTGCAAACTCCGCCTCCCGGGTTCACGCCATCCTCCTGCCTCAGCCTTCCGAGTAGCTGGGACTACAGGTGCCCACCACCATGCCCGGCTAATTTTTTGTATTTTTAGTAGAGATGGGGTTTCACCGTGTTAGCCAGGATGGTCTCGATCTCCTGACCTCGTGATCCACCCACCTCGGCCTCCCAAAGTGCTGGGATTACAAGCGTGAGCCACTGCGCCCGGCCCGAAGTCTTAATAAATGCATAAGTTGGTTTAAAAAGATACAAATTAATCCTTAATGTAATAAACTTTATTTAAATAAATAGGCCTTTTTAGTTTTTGTTTTGATCTTCCTGAAATCAAATATTAAGATGTGTGCCTAGGCTGGGCATGGTGGCTCACGCCTGTAGTCCTAGCACTTTGGGAGGCCCTGGCGGGTGGATCACCTGAGGTCAGGAGTTTGGTACTAGCATGGTGAAACCCCATCTCTACTAAAAATACAAAAATTAGCCGGGCGTGGTGGTGGGCACCTGTAGTCCCAGCTACTTGGGAGGCTGAGGCAGGAGAATCGCCTGAAGTTGGAGGGGGTGGAGGTTGCAGTGAGTTGAGATCGTGCCACTGTACTCTAGCCTGGGCGATAAAGCGAGACTGTCTCAAAAAAAAAAAAAGTCTCAAAAAAAAAATTAAAGTGTGCTTAATTAGAAGGATAAACAGATGTTGAACAAATGTTTGATCAGAGGAGCTTTTGGAGGTGAAATGTTCCTTAGTGATACAGAGAATATAAAATACTCTGGCAGTTACTTAGGTAGTTGTGGTTGAGGGAATCAGTGTATTGAGTGGGTAGTATAGAAATGTGAAGTATAAATTTGAATTAAATAAAATTTAAAAATTCATTTCCTTGGTGATACTAGTCATATTCCAGGTGGCTAGTAGCCACATGTAGCTAGTGACTACTGTTTTTAACAGTGAAGATCTAGAACATTTCCTTCAGCTCAAGAAGTTCTATTGAACAACAGGACTGCTCTAGAAAATTAGGACAGCAATCAGGTTTGGCCTATATGGAGGGTATTAGATCCCAGGTGAGTTTCTGTGTATTTTTAACCTATAGAACAGAATATCTGTCATTTTCAAGAAATAGTCTCCGAGAGAGTGTACTCTGGTTTAAACACGTAACTGACAGCATTTTAATTCTTACAGGTAGCAACACAAGTCGGAATAGAATGGAACCTGTCCCCTGTTGGCAGAGTTACCCCAAAGGAATGGAGGAATCAGTAATCATCCCAGCTGGTGTAATAATGAATTGTTTAAAAAACAGCTCATAATTGATGCCAAATTAAAGCACTGTGTACCCATTAAGATATGGCATTATTGAAGAAATAAAGTACATTTGAAACCTTCATTGTAGGTTTTGTTTCTTTGTAAATGAAACTAAGCTTGATCACTTTAGCCTTTATGTTAATATTAAAGTCAAATGCTGTGCAGCTTCTTAAATAGGTTTTTTTTTTTTTTTTTTTTTTTTTTTGGGACGAAGTCTCACTTTGTCCCCCAGGCTGGAGTGCAGTGGCACCATCTCAGCTCACTGCGACCTCTGCCTCCTGAGTTCAAGTGATTCTCCTGTCTCAGCCTCCCGAGTAGCCAGAACTACAGGCACATGCCATGACGCCCAGCTAATTTTTTTTTTTTTTGAGACGGAGTCTCACTCTGTTGCCCAGGCTGGAATGCAATGGCGTGATCTCGGCTCCTGCAACCTCCGCCTCCCGGGTTCAAGCGATTCTCCTGTCTCAGCCTTCCAAGTAGCTGGGATTACAGGTGCACGCCACCAGGCCCGGCTAATTTTTGTATTTTTAGTAGAGACGGGGTTTCACCATGTTGGTCAGGCTGGTCTCGAGCTCCTGATCTCGTGATCCACCCACCTTGGTCTCCCAAAGTGCTGGGATTACAGGTGTGAGCCACCGTGCCCGGCAATTTTTGTATTTTTAGTAGAGACAGGGTTTCACCATATTGGTCAGGCTGGTTTCAAACTCACGACCTCAGGTGATCCGCCTGCCTTGGCCTCCCAAAGTGGTAGGATTACAGGCGTGAGCCACGGCACCCAGCCCTTAAATGGCTTTTATGAGGTAATGTGAAAGGAAAATTTGCCTTTGACCTGGAAGTCAACTTTATAGTAAGCTGAAATTATAAATAACTGATCATGGAACTATTGCAGATCACCTTTGAGCCAAAAATTTGGCCTGGATTTTGGTTATGCCTACTACTATGTGCCTCTCATTTGTATTTATACCTGGAATTGGCATTATTAACTCCTTTTCACTCCTGCCTAGAAAACTTAAAGTGTCACCAGACCCAAGGGCGGAGTGGTCCTATAAAACAAACTCGTAGCCTGTCTGAAGACTAGCTACTAGCTCCTTGGCTGTTTTGGCATATTCATCTTGATTATAGCTCTTGGTCTTTCATCATATTAGGGATGTTTATGATGTTATTAAAGAAAATCTTGTCAAATGCAGTCTGTTCCTAGTTATCTACTATCAGTCACCTGTTGTATAATTATAACAATGTTTGGATTTGTGGATTATTATTTTAGTATATAACATTGGATTTTATGTATGTTACCTGAAGAAGAGCAATATCTGTACCACATATTTCTTTGTTTTTCTTTTTTGAGATGAAGTCTCACTCTGTTGCCCAGGCTGGAGTGCAGTGGTGTGATCTTGACACACTGCAACCTTTGCCTCCCGGATTCAAGTGATTCTCCTGTCTCAGCCTCCCTAGTAACTGGAATTACAGGCGCCTGCCACCATGCCTGGCTAATTTTTGTATTTTTAGTAGAGATGGGGTTTCACCATGTTGGCCAACCTGGTCTTGAACTCCTGACCTCAGGCGATCCACCCACCTCAGCCTCCCAAAGTGCTAGGCTTACAGGCATGAGACACCGCGCCCGGCTTATATATCATTACTTTCTTGGCTGAGAGCTGTAGTCTGTGGTAGTTGTTTTGTTTTGTTTTTTGTTTTTTTTTTGTAGTTTTCTTGATCGTGATCAATTAAGCAGAAAGTAGAATTTCAGTCAGGTAACCTGTCTATATTAGCTAAATTATCTTTTGCTTATTACATAGAGTGCTAGAAGTATGCTGTCATGGCATATGTCCTAGTTTCTCATCAAATGGACCAAAGTCAGTGATTTTATTTGAAGAGGAAAAATTGAACGTCATTGTAAATTAAGTTGCAAGTTTAGTAACCATATTGTACCACTGTTTGATAAATTTGAACGCTTTATGGTATTTCATATTTAGAATGTTCAAAATAGTACTGAAGTATTCAAATACATACAACCCTGAGCGATATTGAAGTAAAATAAACATGTATTTAAGGAAGTGTCAACCTTCAATTATATACCTTTTTGTCACTGAATTAACACTTATTTCTCACGACGTGGAAGCAGTTTCAGTATGGTTTGTACTAAGCTAAGTGATAGTTGTCATCTGTATGACAATTTAGAATGTTTTCTGTGTCCATTTGTGATCAAAATTATATGTTGCTTTGTGTGATAAAACCTGGTGGTGGTAGTAACTTTGAACACACTTTTTGAACTTAATTTTGTAGTTAATCTTATCCTGATGAGTAATTCTAAAACTTATGACCACTACTAGAAATGAAGCAGTTTTTTGTGTGTGTGTGCCATCACAGTATATACTGACCTTGGAGCTTTCCTAGTGCTCTCAGAGCCATGAAAATATCCTTTCACACAAATTTTCTCAACTTACCCGTAACATCGCTTTGAGTTTCAGTCATACCTAGAGTTGGAAAGTCGTCAAATTAGTCCTCTGTCCTCAAGTATCTGTAAGTCTGAAGAATTTAGGTAAGTTACTTACCTTAAAATCATTGCCAATCCTTTAAACTCTATTTGGATGGCTGTGAAATATTTTAACATTAGGGTTAATGTCATAAATCCCATTCTTTTTTTTTTTTTGAGACCGAGTTTTGCTCTGTCATCCAGGCTGGAGTTCAGTGGTGTGATTTTGGCTCACTGCAACCTCCGCCTCCTGGGTTCAAGGGATTCTGCCTCGGCCTCCCAAGTAGCTGGAATTACAGGCGCCCACCATCACACCTGGTTAATTTTTATATTTTTAGTAGAGACAGGGTTTTGTCATGTTGGCCAGGCTGGTCTCGAACTCCTGACCTCAGGCGATCCACCTGCCTCGGCCTCCCAAAGTGCTGGGATTACAGTCGTGAGCCACGGTGCCCAACCTCATAAATCTCATTCTTAATTTCACTCTAGGACAGAATTATTGTAGCACCTGTGTTCTGTTATTTTAGATTCATTTTAACTTACCTAGACACGGGTACTGTGGTAGTTGTAGAGGTACAGATGTTGAGTTCCCATCCTCCTGGCTTAATGTCACTGGGGTTATTAATACACTTCATAAGCATTTTAGGGACACCTGCTGTCTGCTCAACCCCCAGCAAACCTGATTATTTCTTGAAGACATTCCCTTCTATGCTTGTGCATTGGTAAGGAGGATTAGGGATGATGCATTTAAAGACAAGAGTTTTAGGCTGGGCCTGGTGGCTCATATCTGTAATCCCAGCACTTTGGGCAGCTGAGGTGGGAGGATCATTTGAGGCCAAGAGTTCGAGACCAGCCTGGGCAACAAAGGGAGACTCCCATCTCCACACACAAAAAAATAAAAACTAGCCAGGTGTGGTGGTGTGTGCCCATAGTTCCAACTACTTGGGAGGCTGAGGTGCAAGGATCGCTTTAGCCCCGGAGTTTAAGGTTACAAGGACCTATGATCACACTTCTGCACTCCAGCCTGGGTGACAGCAAGACTCTCAAAACCAAACAACAACAAAATATATATATAGCTCTCTAGGTTTTTATGTTAAATATTAGAGTGCCTAAGAATGTACATGGTTGGCAGAGGATCTTGCAGCTCATAGTGATAAACTTTAGTATTTACATAAAAATACTAGATAGCTAGTAGATTCAATGTTCTGCTTCTGAAAAAGATATATTTTTGGTTTTGCCTTTTAGTGAATTTCTTTTGGATGCTTAACACAATGTTAATATAGTTACAAACCAACTTGCTAATATTTGGAAACCCACTTAAAAGCTATCTTCATTTCATATGATGTGATTTTTAAGATTTTAAATTTGGGGCTGAGTTTGTATCTTAATAATTAAGGCTGCACACATTGACAACTACAAAATAATGCCTGGGAAGATGAGTCCTGAGGCTAATTTTATATTTATGTGGATGAGTGTGGAGGGGGATAATAATTCTGAAATACTTAATCACAGACCTAAAATGTAGATCTATGGGTAATTTTAAATGTTGCCTGTCAAGGCTTAATAGGGACTTGACAACAGCTAGGATGGAAATTATTTCAACACTTAAATATGCTTACTTTGTGCCGGACGCTGTTCTAAGTCTTTTACAAATATTTACTTGATATTTGTATTTTGTGTACTATTTTGATTTCTGCAACATTATTAGGCTTCATACTCTTCTGTGGGAACTGGGTTCAAATGGTTCCAGATGAAAATACAAATAGTCCTGTGATTAGTTTTGTTCTACATCTTATGACAGATACTTCATGAAAGGAAATATGAAAAGGCCACATCTTGCTTTGAAATAAGTGAGATGGAGCCTCTCCCTCTTTTTACTGTTAATGTTCATAGTTTTAAAAATCCTAGAATTTTGCTGCTTTTCAAAATGTTAAGTTGGAAAGCAAGAATAAAATGACCCTTTTTTCAAATGTTTTCTGTACCATTTATTGCATTGTTTACATTTTATGCATCTCATTTCTAAATGAACTCATGGTAACAGAGACTGTAACACTTTTGCATCACCGGAATCTTCTAGGTGTGTAAAATGATGGACGAGTGAATGAATAAATGGGGGAGTGGTTCAGAGCTTGGAATGGCGCTATGAAGGTGGTGAAGTGACGTCCCTACCCCCTCAACACACATATAAAAATTATGAATTTATAAACATTTTCCTCTTGATGTAATTTTTCAATGGAGGGAAGAGGATAAATTCATAGTTCTGGCACTTACATCTGGAATTAGGCTACACAGTCTACGGGAAGCAAGTTAACACAGTCTAACAGATGCACGTGAATTTCATGCTGGGCGAAGATGAACTATGTGGAAGATGACTTATAAGGAGCTTTTATGTTACATCTTGGCAGTTAACACAGTCTAACTGATGCACGTGAATTTCATGCTGGGCGAAGATGAACTATGTGGAAGATGACTTATAAGGAGCTTTTATGTTACATCTTGGCAGTTAACACAGTCTAACAGATGCACGTGAATTTCATGCTAGGCAAAGATGAACTATGTGGAAGATGACTTATAAGGATCTTTTATGTTACATCTTGGCCTGAGGTTAGGAAACTAAAGATGACAAAGGCACTGTTTTAGTATGGGTTTTCTGGTTTCGCTTTTGTCGTGGGGGCGGGGTGGGATAGTGGACTCGTACCCTAACAAAGACCCACTCGAGGCTGCGTGTCGGCCCGGGGGCAGCAGGGGGCAGGAGAAGCTGGCTCTAGACCACGCGTTCCTTTTCACGTGACCAGTCGCTCTCTTTCCCGTGGCGGCCCTGCTTCCGGCAGGGGCATCACCCGGAAGTGGGGGTAGTCGAGGGAGGGAGGGGTAAAGGCGGCTGGCCGCCGCGGCGGGGGGTGGGAAAAGAGAAGCAGAGGGAGGAGTTGTTGCTGCCGCCGCCGCAGCCGCAGCTACTGTGACTTCTCCGATTGTGTGAGCTTTGTTGGAGCCTGCGTACGTGGATTTATCGCTGCCACGGTCTGCGTAGCTCCAGAGGTTTAACCATAGGATAGAGAAACCAGGTAAGTCCTACATTGGCTTCCCGTCGTCCTTTCTCCTGGAGGGGGTCTTCTGTGCTGTCAGTTTGTACTACGAGTGTGGTGAGAAGGTCATGTTAGTCTGGGGCAGTCTCGAAAGTTTCACTTATTCACAATTCAGGTATTAACTACATTTATGTTTTACCTCCCCTAACAGGGGATAGAGGAGGGGAAATTAAATCCTGACCTGTGTCACTTTCTTGTACCCTCTTGGAGAGAATGTCCTGATCATCCATGGCCTACGTTACCCAATTAATTGAGGGTACAAGAAAGTTTGTGTTTGGCATTGAAAGTCACATGGACTGGGGTCTTTGCTTAGTGACACCTCTTTATACTTTGGAAGCTAAGGTTACTAAAATGACCATAATTGATGAAATAATAATTGAAAAATAGATATTTGGCTTCTTGTCTTGCTCTGGGAGCGTAAGGTAAACTGAGAGAACTCTTGTTTCCACTTAGTTTTGTTCATTGTGCCCCCTTTCCAGTAAAGTTACTGTCCATTGTCCGACCCTGTGGCATCTTATCTTTGACACTTTTCTTCGTTGTAGACGTTGAGATTATCTTAAGCACAAACACTTATCGTTTCACAATTCAGCGTTTGTCCAGGATCTGATCTTTATTTTAATCACAGACTCTTTATCTACAATAGTATGGCTTTGTATTGAGAATATGTGCAGAACATTGAATTAGATGATACTGAGGTTATTAATTTTTTTTTTTTTTTGCCGGGTGCGGGGGGGTGGTGGGGAGGGGGTGATGCACAAGAAATAAGACAGAGTTCCTGGCCTCAAAAGAGTTTACTTACAGTAGGCTGGGCGCAGTGTCTGACACACCTGTAATACCAACACTTTGGGAGGCCGAGGAGGGTGGATCACCTGAGGTCAGGAGATCGAGACCAGCCTGGCCATCATGGCGAAACCCTGTCTTTACTAAAAATACAAAAATTAGCTGGGCGTGGTGGCGGGCGCCTGTAATCCCAGCTAGTCGGGAGACTGAGGCAAGAGGATCGCTTGAACCTGGGAGGCGGATGTTGCAGTGAGCCGAGATCGTGCCACTGCACTCCAGCCTGGGCTACAAGAGCGAAACTGTCTCCAAAAAAGAAGAAAGAAAAATAAACAGTTTACATACAATTGAGTCCGAATTGAGTCAGTTGAATTCAGCTATGAAGACAACGGTTTCTAGCAGCCCCACTGACTGAATTACTAGGTTGCTTATCACATCCTTTTCAATGGTTATTTTTGAACTGGCATTTTATTATATTTAACATTTTCTGGTGTCTAAGGTCATGACATGAGAGAGTTTTTTTTGTACTTGAGGATCTCAATGTAGTAGGAAAGAAAGATACACGATTACCTAAACATTTAAAAAATCTCACTAACGTTATATATTAGAAACAGGAGGTGTTATGAGAGTGCAGGGAAGGGAGCATGTGAACTGGGCTTTGAAAAATAGATAGGATTTAGCTTTGCAGGAATGGAGGAAGAGGAAGACATCTATCTGGACTGATAGATAGAAGAAATAATGTGAGCAAAGCCATGGGGGTCTGGAAAGTTGCCCGACATCCAGTAACACACTGTAAGTCAATATTCCTATTTCTAACAGCCACATCTTCCAAGATGTCACTGATTAAAATTAGAAAAAATATAGAATACAAAACTAGTCAGCTCACAAACATATCCAACTGCCCTCCAGCCAATAAGAAAGCTTATATAGAGAAAAAAATACATGGAAATGACAAAAGCAATGTTAATGTATGAGGCTTAATTCTGATGTAAACTCAAATCTAAAAGAGAAAAAATGTAAAACTCGCTATACTTTAATTCTGATTGAGTGTTGTGCCTTAAATATAATTTGGAATCATTTTTAAAATTGTTGGGAATGAATAACATTTTCTGAAGTGAGCAACTGTTCCAGGTTTTCCCCAAGGAATCTCTGCTTTTCCTTTTTTCCTCTAAATTGATTTCTCTCTATTGATCTTCTTAACTTGATAGGAACTATTCTATTCCGATCACAGCCTTAGAAAGATCTTGATGCCTGCCCTCAAGATAAGGTTAAACACTAATCCCTCCAAAGGATAGGTTAACATCTCTGTTCTCTAAAGCAGAAGGTTGATTTTCTTTGAAAAATGCTTGCAGAAGCAGTAAAATTTGCTTACAAAACAAGAGAGAGAGAGAAAAGAGTGCAAAAATAACCCCAGCTAACACACCACAACCTTCACTTCTGTGAGGGCGCTAAAGGAAATACATTTTAAAAAAATAAATTCCTTGTTATAACTCCTTTTATCTATATATTTAAAAGCTCTTGGCAAACTTTATTAATCAAGACTTTGGACATCCTGATGAGTGAAAATAATCTTCATTTGCCAGTTGGGAAAGTAAATTGCAAGGAGAGATTTTTGTCTGAACTCATAGAAGCACTAGCATAGATGAGAATAGTATTTGGGAGTTTTGTCTCAAAATTCCTTCTATTCATCTTTGTTAAAGGGCAGTTCAGGTTTTAGCGTTTTGTTTTTAGACAACGATATTTCTTAGGATATAGCTCAACATGGGGCCGGGGCAAGGGGGAGGCTGGGGGACAGATGAGTGATAGGCAATGGTTAGGCAGAGTATTTTAGTTCACTCTACCATCCCAGCAATCATGTTTTTCCCTCTTAAATCTCAGTCTTCAGGTTGATTTAATGTGATATTACTTGCTTACTTAACTTGCTGAGATAGTTTGGCAGGAAAAATATCAAAATTCCTTTAGAATGTGTTTCATTAAAGTAAAAGGGTCCTGTGTTTCTGATTTTATAAAATGTTCTTACTTTTTCCAGCACTGTTTGCAAATTGAAGTGATTTCCTAATCTTTTTGTGCCCAAATGTATGAGATATTGGTAGACTACATCAGTTTTCACAGATACCTCTTTCCTTGAAGGAAATGAGGGTAAAATACCCCATTTTGAGTCAGTTATGTGTACTTTGTACCATATTTTCTGTTCACATTTAAAATTATACAGCTATGTCTCAAGGATGAAAAAAGAGTTTTACTTATTTTTACTATTAATCTCTAGTGTAGAAGTCCAGTTTTTCAGACCTATAATCAGGAGTGCATTTTTAACAATTTACCAGTTGAAATAAATGGGTTATTTCACATTGTAGGGATATTGTTTTAGACTGGCCATTAACCTTATTTTATTTTATTTTTATTTTAAAAGATGTTATTGTTATTATTTATCTATGTATTTATTTCTAGAGGCAGGGCCTCGCTCTGTGGCCCAGGCTAGGGTGCCATGGCACAATCATAGCTCACTGCAGCCTTAATCTCCTGGGCTCAAATGATCCTCTGGCCTCTCAAGTAGCTGGAACCACAGGCGCATGCCACCATGCCTAGCTACTTATTTATTAATTAATTATTATTTTTTAAATAATATTATTTTTAAGAGATGGGGTCTTGCTCTGTCACCCAGGCTGGAGTGCAGTGGCGCCATCATAACTCACTGCAGTCTCGATCTCCCAGGCTCAAGCGATCCTCCTACCTCAGCCTCCTGAGTAGCTGGGACTATAGGTGTGTGCCACCACTCCCAGCTAATTTTTAAACTTTTTGTAGAGACAGCATCGTGCTGTGCAGTGGTGCTATCTCGGCTCACTGCAACCTCCGCCTCCTGGGTTCTAGTGATTCTCTTGCTTCAGTCTCCCAAGTAGCGGGGATTACAGGTGCGCGCCACCACACTTGGTTAGTTTTTGTATTTTTGGTAGAGAAGGGGTTTTGCCATGTTGGTCAGGCTGGTATCGAACTCCTGACTGACCTCAAGTGATCCACCCTCCTCAGCCTCCCAAAGTGCTGGGATTACAGGCATGAGCCACTGTGCCAGGCCTTAAAACACCTAGTGTTAAAAATGGTGTCTTAATTGTATTCTCAGATTCTCCTAGAAAGAAAAGATATACTAAATGTATATTTAGATATACTAAAACACCTAATGTTTATTTTTGTTTATTTATTTTTGAGATGGAGTCTGGCTCTGTCACCTAGGCTGGAGTGAAATGGTCTATGTTTGTTTTTTCATCTTGACAGTAATATCTTTGAACATTTTCTGGAGTATTAGATATTATTCTCTTGATGCTTCAAGGTATCTTAACTTCACCATTGTATTGCGATATATTGTTTTGGAGAGACAGTATAATATAGGATTAAGAGTGGAGGCTAGGTGGGGCACAGTTGCTCACGCCTGTAATCCCAGCACTTTGGGAGGCCGTGGCAGGCGGATTGCTTGAGCCCAGGCGTTCGAGACCAGCCTGGGCAACATAGGGAAACCCTGTCTCTACAAAAAATACAAAAATTAGCTGAGTGTGTTGGCACGTGCCTGTAGTCCCAGCTACTCAGGAGGCTGAGGTGGAAGGATCGCTTGAGCCTGGAAGGTTGAGGCTGCAGTGAGCTGAGATCACACCACTGCACTCCACCCTGGATGAGAGAGTGACAGAGTGAGACCCTGTCTTGTCCGGAAAAAAAAAAAAAGCCTGTCTTGTCTGGCTCAGTCCAGGTGCTAGACTGTCTAGGTGGGATCCCAGCCCCTCTGCTTACTACTTGTATGACCCTGCGCAGATTTCATACTCCTCTGTGCCTCAGTTCCTTCAAATTTCTAAAATGGGGACAATAACAGTACCTGTCTCACAGGATTGTTAATGATCTAATACATGTACGGTGTCTGGCAGATAGTAAACATACAATAAAATGTAGTTACCTTTAATATTTTAATATATTATTTACTGTAAAAGTAATTTTAACATCCTATATAATAAAATTATAAATTACAGTTTTGCTGTACTATAAATTTAGTAGACTACAGGATCAATATACTAATCAATCAATACTTGCAAGCAATATTTAAATTCTTTAAAAAAATTTTTTTTGGAGACAGGGTCTTGCTCCGTAGCCCAGGCTGGAGTTGCAATGGCACGATCTCGGCTCACTGCAACCTCTGCCTCCAGGGTTCAAGCGATTCTCATGCCTCAGCCCCCCGAGTAGATGGGGTTACAGGCGTGTGCCACCACACCCGGCTAATTTATTTATTTTTAGTAGAGATGGGGTTTCGCCATGTTGGCCAGCCTGGTCTCAAACTCCTGGCCTCAGGTGATCTGTCCGCTTCAGCCTCCCAAAGTGCTGGGATTACAGGTTTGAGCTACCGCTCCCGGCCCTGCCACCACGCCCGGCACAATACTTAATTTCTAACTTACACCATAGAAAATTGGCCGGTGCGGTGGCTCACGCCTGTAATCTCAGCACTTTGGGAGGCTGAGGTGGGTAGATTGCTTGAATTCAGGAGTTCCAGACCAGCCTGGGCAACAAGGTGAAACCCCATCTCTACAAAAATTACAAAAAATAGCCAGGTGTGGTGGCATGCGCCTATAGTCCCAGCTACTGGGGAGGCTAAAGTGGGGGAATTGCTTGAGCCTGGGAGGTTGAGGCTGCAATGAGCTGAGATCATGCCACTGCAGTCCAGCCTGGGTGACAGAGTGAGACCCTGTCTCAAAAAAAAAAAAAAAAAGAAAAAAAAAGAGAAAGAAAATGGAAAACTCAGATTGAGAGGGTCCCCCAGTAGCCTATAGTACACCTACATATGCTAACATGGCATCTTAAAGCTCATTATTACAGCTGGCAAATCAAATCACTGTGATGTGCTCATCCTATTTCCCTATCAAGAAAACTCATAACAATCTGCTTCTGTAATTAGTGAGCCACAGACTCTAGGCCATCGAGATTTTCCACATTCCCTAATTGTCAAATGCTGAACCATACTTGTACTGAATAAGTTGTGATACAGTGTAAGCAAGGGAAAAGGCCTTATGTATGTCTAACCTACTCTGCAAATAGCTGCATTCTTACAAAGTTGTGTGTAAATTGAATTTTTACAAAGCATGTCAGCACTTTGATTAGTACATTTTTATTGTGTGCTTATTGCATATTCAGTGTTTCCTGTGAGCTATACAAAGAAGCATAAGGCATATGTTCCAATGTCTAGCAAGAGAAAGAAGTTTAATACCAAGCAGAGAGAAATTAGGTACTACTAAACTATGAAACTGATTCCAGGGTATTCGGAATTTAAAAAGAAAGTGGCTAGGAGTATTTGACATGATTTTTCATGAAGGAGGTGGGACTTCAGTTCATTTACTTACTCAACAGTGATTTATTGAGTAGCCACCATGTTCACTGGTGGTATGATAGTGAACAGAGCAGATATGGTCCTGTTTCTGTGGAGTTTAC